>NC_000020.11:28557053-28646195 GCF_000001405.40 Homo sapiens
CCTCACTTTTAGAAATTAATTTGGCTTTTAAGGGGCCTGGATAGTAAAGTATTTTATTGGCGTTTGAATGAACCAAGAAAATACATATAAATACACATGCGTAACTATAAGGGCAAAGGTAGTACTTTCGAAATCACAGCATTAGATTAAACAATGTAAATTTTTAATTGTTTTTTAAAAAATCAAGTCTTTCTCATCTTACTAGAAACTATTTACCAGAGTAAATAAGCTTCTTACTGAAGTCAAAAGACTTTCTGGAAAAACTTCTCCTTGATGAAATTACACTTAAAACATCACTTCCATCGTGAAGTATTTAAGATGTTCCTGGTCCTTTTCCTGTTATGTGGAATCGTCAATTCAAATTTTAAAAGTGACTTTGAGATGTTTTTCATCTATTATTTTAAAAATGTTGAAGGCGTTTTTAATTCTGCCTTCAACAGAGATGGACACACTCTGATTATGATGTAAAACTGAACACGTTACTCTGACAGGCTTTCTTTTCTGCAACACAGCTACCATCATTATTAAGGATTGAATGCTTTTACTCCATGCACAATCTGTATTCCCTGCTTTATAAAGAACAGAAATCTAATTCTCACTATGAAGGCAGATAAAAGTAATCCCTTCAACCTATAGATGAATCATTAACCAAAGCACTCAGACTTTAAATAGCATTTATCAAATGTGTCTACATTTCTACGCAGATTCATAGAAAGAACATGTAGTTTAAATCATTGCACATTTTATGCTTTTAATGAGTTGTGATGGTCATTAGTATTTTTATCACATTTCCCCAAAGGTAGGCTAATTACTGTTATTATTTTCAGCTAGAAATATAAAATGAATTTTCTATTTTTGATGACTTTGAAACATAATCCTTGCAATATAATATCTGTGTATAATATCTGTGGAAAGCATGAAAGTAATATTCAAACAGTAGGCATTTTTTCCAGAATGAAAATTTCCTCTACAATAACATTCACCTTTTTTTTCCCGATGGGCAAATAAAAGTCAACATTTCTAAGATTGCTGGACGTTATTTACATTAAACTTGCCTCAGCGTCAGGTGTTGCAGAAACTGGACAAAAGGCCACAAGGTACACAATACACACACACACACACACACACACACAAAACTTGTATTATTATACTTACCTAAGTGTCTAAAGAGGTGGATAAATATATTAGGTTGCTCCAGAAGAAGGATTTTTACGGGGCCTATTGGAAAGTATGACTGCAGTTTGAGTGAGATGTCTGTAAGAGATTCAATTTGGCCACTAATAGAGTATCCAATTTTAAAAATACTGACAGAAGGCTCATGAGATAGAAATTTTCACCTAGATCTATTGGAAATATACTACTAGATTCTGTAGAAAAAGACTGGTGCGGTAATTGTAAAACACATCTGATATCTAAATCTTTGTCTGTTTTTTACCTGAAATCCTTATGAGGGTGATTGTGTATGTCAATTTGAATCTTCCCGTCAACAAGATAAATAAATACATAAATAAATAGCCAGGCTGCCTGGATAAATTAGTTCACCTTTTCTATATTTTGAGGGCAGTGCTTCTCCTCCTTTGACAGACACAAGATTCACCCGGGGATCCCTTGCAATGAAAAACCATAGACCACACTTTGACTAGCTTGGATAAGGGGCCAGAGCACTGAAATGAGTGTGTAGCTGACTGTGCTAAGATTCTCCTGCTCATTTGGGCACTGGCTCACCAAATAAACAAAGCTTAGGACCTCTAGTCCTTGCCGGAAAAGAAATACACATACATAGGATGTGACTGTGCATGTGGAATATCTGTTGTGTTCTGGACATTGTGCTAGACAACAGAGATAAGAAGTCAAATAATCCCTTGTCTCTATCTGAAAAGAGCTTCCTAAACACTGGCTTTTGAGGTCTTTGAAACTAGATTCACTTTCAGATTTGATTATTATATTTATGATTTGATATTTTCATTGAACCCCATGATATGATAAAGTTTTCTAGAACCTGCTAGAATAATTGACTTTGCTCTCAGCATTATGAAGCCACTGGGGCACATAAGTAATTCATTTATGTTTCTATTTAACCAGACAGGAACAACTTGAGCTACTTTTCTAACCACTTTCGTTTAGAGCTGTTTTTGTTTGTTATTTTTGTTTGTTTGTTTTTGAGACGGGTCTCACTCTGTCACCTAGGCTGGAATGCAGTGGCATGATCAGAGCTCACTGCAGCCTCTACCTTCTGGGCTCAAGCAATCCTCTCACCTCAGACTCCTGAAAAGCTGGGACCACAGGCTCATACCATCATACCCAGCTCATTAAAAATATATATTTTTTTTGTAGAGACGGTTTTTCCATGTTTCCTAGACTTGTCTCCAACTCTTGAACTTAAGCAATCTGCCTGCCTCAGCCTCCTAAAGTGTAGAGCTGTGTTTTCAGTCTTTTTTGAGCTGTTTTACAATCCAATTTTGAATTGGTAAGTTTGGATTCATTCTGACATTTACAGATTTAACATCCTACTTCACAAGATGCTCATAGCCTTAATCCATTACAGCCGATGCATCATCCATCTCTGCTCATAGCCTTGATCCATTACAGTAGCCACCTCGTCCATCTCTGCTCATAGCCTAAAGTAATAGAAGCCAGAGGGAAGAAAAGGAAGCCAACGTGAGTCCAGAACACACATTTTATAAGAGTATAAGAAATATAAAAATAGCAAAGTGTATCGTGAAGTTTGTAATAGATGTGCATGGTTAAAATTTATTCTTAATCAATATATTCTATAAATTGGGAAAAAATATTAAACACATGAAAAGTAAGGAACTTGGGCTGGGTGTGGTGGCTCATGCCTGTAATCCCAGCACTTTGGGAGGCCGAGGCTTGCGGATCACAAGGTCAGGAGATCAAGACCATCCTGGCTAACATGGTGAAACCCCGTCTCCACTAAAAATACAAAAAAATTAGCCAGGTGTGGTGGTGGGTCCCTGTAGTCCCAGCTACTCGGAAGGCTGAGGCAGGAGAATGGCATGAACCCGGGAGGCGTAGCTTGCAGTGAGCCGAGATCTGGCCACTTCACTCCAGCCTGGGGACAGAGCGAGACTCCGTCGCAAAAAAAAAAAGAAAGAAAAGTAAGGAACTTTCATCATTAATATATAACAATTATGACAAGAATGTGGTTTATGTTTTTATCTTTGCAAGATTTGGGAACATTTAGTGGAAGGAGGAAGAATTTATAATCATGAAGAGTGTGTATGATACTGGAGGGAGCCTTTTGAGAAGGCGGAAATGGCATCACGAGCTATGCTATGGTCATAGCTATGTGGGAGCGCAGCCAGCTATGGTCTCCCCCGTCAAACCCACTGGGCAGTGTTCAGTTACCAACATTGAGATAGAGCTCACCCACCCAGGACAGAAGAGAAAATATACACTGCAGTCAGAAACCACTGTGTAGGAAGCTCCTTTCAGAAAGAGGCAAGGGATATTTGACTTTTTATCTCTAGTGTCTAGTACAATGTTGAGAACACAACAGATATTCCATATGCACAGTCACATCCTATGTATCTGTATTTCTTTTCCAGCAGGAACTGGAGGTCCTAAGTTTCGTTCATATGGTGAGCCAATGCCCACATGAACAGTAGGATCTTAGCACTGTCACCTGGACATCCATTTAAATGCTCTTGTCTTAGCTAGTCAAAGTGTGGTCTATGAGTTTGCATTTTAATAAGCTTCCAGGGTGAATCTTAGGCATGTTACAGGGAAGCACTGTCCTACATCATATGTGACAGGCTCTCATAGTCACCATCATCACGGGAATCTTGTGCATGTTACAGGGAAGCACTGTCCTACATCGTATCAGACAGGCTCTCATAGTCACAATCATCACGGGAATCCTGTGCGTGTTACAGAGGAAGCACTGTCCTACATCATATGTGACAGGCTCTCATAGTCACCATCATCACGGGAATCTTGTATATGTTACAGGGAAGCACCGTCCTACATCATATGTGACAGGCTCTCATAGTCACCATCATCACGGGAATCTTGTACATGTTACAGGGAAGCACTGTCCAACATCATATGTGACAGGCTTTCACAGTCACCATCATCAGGGCAATCTTGTGCATGTTACAGGGAAACACTGTCCTACATCATATGTGAAAGGCTCTCATAGCACTATCATCATGGAAATCTTGTGCATGTTACAGGGAAGCACTGTCCAACATCATATGTGACAGGCTTTCACAGTCACCATCATCAGGGCAATCTTGTGCATGTTACAGGGAAACACTGTCTTACATCATATGTGAAAGGCTCTCATAGCACTATCATCATGGAAATCTTGTGCATGTTACAGGGAAGCACTGTCGAACATCATATGTGACAGGCTGTCATAGTCACCATTCCCATGACCATAGTCATGGGAATCTTGCTCGTGTTACAGGGAAGCACTGTCCAACATCATATGTGACAGGTTCTCATCGTCACCATCATCATGGGAATCTTGTGCATGTTACAGGGAAGCATTGTCCTACATCGTATCTGACAGGCTCTCGTAGTCACCATCATCAGGGGAATCTTGCACACGTTACAGGGAAGCACTGTCCTACATCATATGTGACAGGCTCTCACAGTCACCATCATCACAGGAATCTTGCACACGTTACAGGGAAGCACTGTCCTACATCATGTGACAGGCTTTCATAGTCACCATCACCATGGGAAGCTGCATTTAGAGCATTTAACTATATGGGCTCTGAAATCAGATAACTTAGGTTTAGACTTACTTCTACTTCTTACTAAGCAGAGAACTCTGGGGTGAAAAGTTTACGAGACCCAGTTTTATCATGTCCAAATTGGAGGCATGGGGAAATTATAGCATTTTGCATAGAATATTGTTTTAAGTATAAAATGAAATAGTACATAGTAAGCTTCTGCCATACACTGACTGCACAATAAATATTAGTTAATAGTAACTCATTTAATCCTAAGGTCTATAAATTTGTACACAATAATTTTTTGTGACTACCTTAATTTTCATAATTAGTCTAGATTTAAAATCAAGGAATGTTCTTACGTGTAGTTGGCAATCAATATGACATGCCAAAATTATATGTAAGTATTTCATTGTTGGTGGGGATATAAGAAATTTACCATCAAAAGAGAGACGATAATCTATGTTTGCAGACTCCAGAAAGCTGTCTCTCACATAAGAATTTGCAATTTCTGGGGGAAAAGAAAAAGTTGATTGTGCAAAGAGATTACCATGGAGTCTTCTCTATGGCAACACCACAAATGAAAGCTGATTCTCATCTTCCTAACAATCTGCAAAGACGAGTGAAACACAACCTACTGAGCATCAAGTTAAAGAAGGAGAGAATTTGAGTGGCACAGGAGGAAATCATGTCACCGCTAGGAAAATCAATATGACCAGTGCTCCTCTGCCCTCCTCCGAGGCTAAGGAGGGGTTAAATATCAGTGGCTGGCCTCAGGTAATGGAATGAGCAAAAAAGCTATAAAAATGCGTGCATTACATAATTAAGAGGGTGGGAAGGGATTTTTTTTAAAACGCAATTCCCACTCGGGTTCCTTCCTGTTCACCCCACTGGCGAAGAAGCTAGTCTTGCCCTAGAATTCTGGGAATGGCTGCAGACAAAACAAACACTGAGCAGACGAAATTCCCAGTAATTTACTCATCACACATATTCAGCCCAGTGGGGGATGACACTGCATTTATGCAGGTCTACCCAGTGTTGCACTCTAGAACAGAAGGTGTGGGAGGCAGGCTTGGTAGAAATCAGAGGGTGGGGTAACCCCTCGTCCCTTCAGGGATGTGCTTGACTAATTCAGAGTTTTGCAGTCTGGTGGGGGCATGAAAGCCATTAGGCTGAGGACATGGTGGGGTGCTGCATGAAATTTTAGGTGTCACAATACAATTGACCCCTGATGCTTTAACATCAGACATTTATTTTCGTAATGACTAATATTTTGAGAGGCTGAGCGAAAGCTGCTGAGACATTGTAATAAGTGTTTAGGGACATGAGAGATTAGGAAGGCCACAGTTATGAGTAATGTAATGTGGAAGCCGATGCAAAGCTACTGCCCCCATTTATTTAGCAGGAGGCAGGAAAAGTGATCTGGGGTCTCTGGCAGAATAAGCGTGTTTGTAAATATTTGGGTGATGTCATGCATTCCTCATGCATTGGTTTAGAGATCTGGGGTCTCTGGCAGCACAAGAGTGTTCATAATTATTTGGGTGACGTCATGCATCCCCCATGCATTGGTTTTCATGTCTCCAGTGAGTTGTTGGGCAAGTCTGATATTACTGATCCACACGCAGCAGGCAGCTTCCTGTACTGAGCTAGCTCCACCCCTTGGACAGTCCAGGACTGAATGGTTGTCAAAAATGTGAACTCCTTGATGTCCAGTAAAGGCAACTGAGGGAACTGTGTAGCATTGGTGTAAAAAGTGCACTTTCCTAAGAAGCATGAACTTAGAGTAATCAAAGCCTGTGACAACAGTGAAACCCAGCAGGGCATCCAGTCGCTGCTTTGTAACTTAAATAGGAATTCTTTGAGGAGCTCAGTCTATCTCTCAACTAAAGCAGCTGCCTGCAGCCTATAGGGGCAGTGGAAGCCCTACTAGACACTTTCACAAGCCTAGCACTGTGTTTTCTGATGAAATGTTGCCTTGGTCACCATCAGTAGTGTCAGGAACTCTGCAGGGGATAAGGAGTGTCCCTGTGAGATCTGTACTGTGTCCTTCGTTAAAAAAAAGGCATCTGTTACCTTGATTGTATTCTGAGTATCCATGAGGCAAGAAGTTTCTTTAATTCAATGGGGAGGGAAGGTGGATAATTCTTGGCAATTGCCAAAAATTTGTAAAAATGTACAAATGGGGCTAATTGTTGGCCCAGCATCAGTGCTGAGATGACCACCTCAAGTTTGGCCAGTTGTGCTGAGGCTTGGGTGTCATCCTTTATCAGGGACATCCTGGCTAAGGGAGGGAAGACCGCAACAACATCCCACTGAGCTCCATCACTTCAGATGATGGCATCCATTCAGAAGGTGGATGAACTTCACTGCTGGTCACTCAGTCGATCCCAAGGGGCCTCGGAGATGGGTGACTTCCAGCAACACAGCCTGAGGATGAAGGAGGCCAGTGTTTCCTGCAGATGAGAATGGCAGGGGGTCCAGGTTTGACTCCATCCTGAGGCAAGGAGGTCTCTGTAGCTGTGCCAAGGCTGTGGGGTGCTGCTTCCCAAGGCCTGATGGCCAGATGGGCATGAAGGCTCGTGGACATGGATGCAGAGCCCTCTGTTTCCAGAGGGTCCAGTATGTGGTCAGCAATAACTGCCCTGATGCTGTACAGAACACAGTGAAAAGGGGCAGGTTTGTTTTTTACATCAGAAGCCCATGGACTACTTATGGCCACCATATGCAATCCAGATACTTCAGGAGGCATGGTAAGAGGTTGCTAAAGCATCCACAGTGTGTTCTCTGAGGGAATTCATAGGCGCACCTGTTAATTTAGATTTGGACAGATTCCAGACTTGTTGGAGGAGGCTTCATTCAAGGTGGATCAGTTAGCCAATGACAGAAAGCATCAGTGAGATTAAGTAAGATTTGTAAATAAGAAATATGTTGTCACCTGAACCCCAAGTAAAGAATTAAAGGGCTGGGAACAGTGGCTGACACCTGTAATCCCAGAACTTTGGGAGGCCGAGGTAAGAGGATCGCTTCAGCCCAGGAGTTTGAGACCAGTCTGGGTAACATAGCGAGACGTTTTCTCTACAAAAAAATAAACAAAATTAGCTGAGTGTGGTGGCACACACCTGCAGTCCTAGCTACTTGGAAGGCCGAGATGGGAGAATTGCTAGAGCTCAGGAGGTCGAGGCTGCAGTGAGCTGAAATCGTGCCACTTCATACCAGCCTGGGTGACAGAGCAAGACTGTGCCTCCAAAAAACAAAACACAAATTAAAGAATGTTGGGCTTGTATTAACATTGTGGACGCTGAGAGGATCAATAACTATTTCTTGAAAGTGTCAGGAATAGAGTAGCTCCATGTTTACCAAGGAATTTTCAGGAATTGAAGCAAAGTGGCAGGGCCTTGCACATCTGTGTTGTGGAAAGGTCCATTCCCTTTGTGTAAGCCTCCTTGTATCTGTGTGTCCTTAGTGCGTAAAATGAATTTTCTCTGAGAATGATGTCATCACTATAATGTCACACCTGTGCTCCTGTAGAAACCTGGTTGCAGTGAGATCTTGTCTGTGAAGATTGCATGCAATAACAAGGCTGCCGAGGCACTCCGTGGGTCGCCTGGTCCCTTCAGAGATGAAGGCAGGCTATGACTGAGACTCTGTTAAAATAGGCACAAAAAGAACATGGTAGCCAAATCTGTAACAACAAAATATTTATCAGTTGCATGAATATATATAGGTTTATTGTAAGGAATTGGCTCATGTGGTTATGAAGGCCAAGAAGTCCCAGGACCTGCAGTCAGCAAGCTGGAGACCCAGGACTGCCAATGTTGGAGTTCCAGTCCAAGCCTAAAGTCCTGAGAACCAGGAAAGCTGATGGCATAAGTTACAGTCCACGTCTGACTTCAAAGGCGAGAGAAGATCTATGTCTCAGCTCTGAAATCATCAGAGAGTGAATTCTCTCTTCCTCTACCCTTGTGTTTTATTTGGGTTTTAATGGATTGGATGAGGCCCACTCACACTGGGGAGGGCAACTACTTTACTAAGTCTACATATTCAAATGTTCGTCTCATCAAGGAACACCCTCACAGACACATCCAGAGTGTTTAACCAAATATCTAGGCAACCCAACTTGGCAAATAAAATTAACCATCATAAGGCGAAAGATGTATACGATCTGAAGACAAATCAGGGATGCAGGATGGTTAAATATCTGCAAGTCAATAAATGTGATACACCATATAAATAGAATTAAAAACAAAAATCACATGATCATCTCAATACATGCAGAAAAAGGATTTGACAAAATCCAGCATCCCTTTATGCCTAAAACCCTCAGCAAAACTGACATAGAAAAAGCATTTTACAAAATCCAGAATCCCTTTGTGATTAAAACCCTCAGCAAAATCAACATCGAAGGGACATACCTTAAGGTAATAAAAGCCATATATGACAAACACAGACAACATTATATGGAATGGGGAAAAGTTGAAAGCATTCCCCCTGAGAACTGGAACAAGACAATGATGCCAACTTTCACCACTTCTATTCAACACAGTACTAGAAGTCCTCGCCAGAACGATCAGATAAGAAATAAAGGGCATCCAAATCGGTAAAGAGGAAATCGAACTGTCACTCTTTGCTGATGACATGATCGTATACCTAAAAAACCCTAAAGACTCATCCCAAAAGCTACTAGAACTGGTAAATGAATTCAGCAAAGTTTCAGGATACAAAATTAATGTACACAAGTCAGTGGCTCTGCTATACAGTAATAGTGAACAAGCTGAGAATTATATAAAAAACTCACCCCCTTTTACAATAGCTGCAATAAAAACCTTAGGAATATTATAATTCCTATAATTATAATAGTATATTCCTATAATTGTCAATTGCATGCAATCTTTGCAGACAAAATCTTAATTATATCCGGAATGCTTAACCAAAAAGACAAAAGACGTCTACAAGGAAAACTATAAAACACTGCTGATAGAAATCATAGATACAAAAAAATGGAAACACATCCCATGCTTACGGATGGGTAACATCAATATTGTGAAAATACCATACTGCCAAAAGCAATCTACAAACTCAATGCAATCCCCATTAAAGTACCAACATCAGTCTTCACAGAACTACAAAAATTCACATGGAACTAAAAAAGATATAGAAGGGACATACCTTAAGGTAGTAAAAGCCTAGAACCAAAAAAGAGTCTGTATAGCCAAAGCAAGACTAAGCAAAAAGAACAAATCTAGAAGCCGACTTCAAACTATACTAGAAGGCCATAGTCACCAAAACAGCATGGTACTGGTATAAAAATAGCCATATAGATCAATGGAACATAATAGAGAACCCAGAAATAAAGCCAAATACTTACAGTCATCTAATCTTCAACAAAACAAACAAAAACATAAAGCAGAGAAAGAATACCCTATTCAACAAATGGTGCTGAGATAAATGGCAAGCCACACATAGAAGAATGAAAGTGGATGCTCATTTCTCACCCTATTCAAAAATCAACTCAAGATGGATCAAGGACTTAAATCTAATATCTGAAACCATAAAAATTCTAGAAGACAACATTGGAAAAACCCTTCTAGACATTGGCTTAGGCAAAGACTTCATGACCAATAACCCAAAAAGCAAAAGCGACTAAAACAAAGATAAATAGATGAGACTTAATTAAACTCAAAGGCTTCTGCGCAGTAAGAGAAATAATCCGCAGAGTAAACAGATAACCTACAGAGTGGGAGAAAATCTTCGTAATCTGTACTTCTGATTAAAGGACTAATACCCAGAATCTGCAAGGAACTCAAACAAACCAGCAAGAAAAACATCCCATCAAAAAGTGGGCTAAGGACATGAACAGACAATTCTCAAAAGAAGATAAGCAACTGGCCAACAAACACATGAAAAAATGTTCAACATAACTAATTATCTGGGAAATGCAAATCAAAACCACAATACAATATGATACCCCTTCACTCCTGCAAGAATGGTCATAATCAAAAAATCAAAAATTAATAGATGTTGGCATGGATGTGGTAAAAAGGGAACACTTTTACACTTTTTGGAGGGAATGTAAGCTAGTACAACAGCTATGGAAAACAGTGAGGAAATTTCCAAAGAACTAAAAGCAGATCTATCATTTGATCCAGTAATTCCACTCCTGGGTATCTACTCAGAGGAAAATAAACCATTATATGAAAAAGATACTTGCACACGCATGTTTATAGCAGCACAATATGCAATTGGAAGAATTTGAAACCAGCCTAAATGCCCATCAATCAGTAAGTGGATAAATAAAATGTGGTATAAATATTTACCACATGGAATACTACTCAGCCATAAGATGGAATGAAATAATGCATTCATAGCAACCTGGATGAAACTGGACACCATTATTCTAAATGAAGCAACTTAGGAATGGAAAACCAAACATTGTGTATTCTCATTCATAAGTGAGAGCTAAGCTATGAGGATGTAAAGGCATAAGAATGATACAATGGTCTTCGGGGACTCAGGGAAAGGCTGGCAGTGGTGGGGTGGGTGCAGTGAGGGATGAAACACTACGCATTGGGTACAGTGTACACTGCTTGGATGATAGGTGCACCACAAATCTCAGAAATTGCCACTAAAGAACTTATTCCTGTAACCAAACACCACCTGTTTCCCAAAAACCTATTGAAATAAAAAAAAAATTAACCACAATATTAGGCATTTGGGTACGAGGGCCTTAATGGATGGGAGCACTGCAGTCACATTACAGCAATCCACTGTGAAACACCATTTATTATTTGCAGGTTTAAGAAAAGGCCAAATTCTACTGCTAAACGTTGAAGCAATGAGAATTATCACCCCTTCACTAATTAATTAGGTCTTATATAATAAGTTTTATTTATTTGAAGTCATGTTGTAATTTATGTTGGACCATATTTGCTAATTTATCAAGATGGGGAGGCTGGGCACGATGGCCCACACCTGTAATCCCAGCACTTTGGTAGGCCGAGGCAGGAGGATTGCTTGAGGCCAGAAGTTAGAGACCAGCCTAAGCAACATAGCAAGACTCCACTTCTATAATTTTTTTTAATTGGCTGTGTTGGTGCATGCCTGTAATCCCAGCTACTTGGAAGGCTAAAATGGGAGGATTGCTTGAGCCCAGGAGTTCAAGGCAGCAGTGAGCTATGATTGTGCCACCACACTTCATTCAGCCGGGGTAGTGGAGCAAAACCTCATCTCTAAAAAAATGAAAAATTAAAAATAAATCAAATTTAAAAAAAAAACAGGAGAGGGAGTTCTGTAAGGTTACATTTGGTGAAGTCAATGTGTAAGTGCAAATGATTTAATATCAATTTGTTACTCATTAGTTCAGAGCATCCAGGTCCCCTATGGACAAAGGCTTCTACGACTACTGGAAATTTAGTCAAGGTAAAAAATGTGAGGCATAACTATGTGTCCTCTATTCTATATGCAGTTACTCTGCTAGGATTAGGGGATGCAATGTTTAAATTTAGTGAAATCTCAGGTATAACAAAGTTTGAGCTCCAGTATTGATTAAGTTTGTGAAGGTATGCCAATTGGTAGATTTCAGCAGATGTTAAAATTGATTCAGAATATATGCTGGAGAGTTACAAATACCAATCAGCACACTTTTATCTTTGGACTGTATAAATTGTTTTAGAAAATAGTACATGTCCAATTAGGTCAGATGATAGACTTCCGTTTTAATTTAAATTTTGTTTTTGTGCATATCCAAGTTCCTTCCCTTCCTTCCTTCCTTCTTTCCATATTTCCTTCCTTCCTTCCCTCTTTCCTTCCTTCCTTCCTGCCTTCCTTCTCCTTCCCTCTTTCCTTCCTTTCTTCCTTCCTTCCTTCCTTCCCTCTCTCCTTCCTTCCTTCCCTCCCTCCTTCCTTCCTTCCCTCTCTTCCTTCTTTCCTTCCTTCCTGCCCTCCTTTCCTCTCTCCTTCCTTCCTTCATTCCTTCCTTCCCTCTCTCCTTCCTTCCTTCCTTCCATCCCTCCCTCCCTCCCTACTTCCTTCCTTCCTTCCCTCTCTCCTTCCTTCCCTCCTTACTTCCTTCCTTCCCTTTCCCTCATTTTTTTGCCGCTGGATATGGGGAAGGTTGTTCTCTTTCCCACTCATATTTATAATTTCTTTCTTTGAAACAGACCCAAATCAGTGTCTTCAGAGTTAAGGTCCTCCTTGTGAGCAGATTGTGTCATTTTAGAACCCTAGACTTAAGTCAGGTTTGGATTTCTCCCTTCTCTCTGCCTCAGGGGTACCACAGGTGTCTTTTCCTATAACCCTGGGAATTAGATCTTTGTTGCGGCAGAACCATAAGTCACAGAGCGATGCAGCACAACCAGCCCACAATTCAGGGGTCAGTGGATTGAAATCATCTTCTGCTACGGCTCCATCTGGTTCTTCCAGGACTTCTCTCACCCCCTTTTTTCCCTTTTAGGGTGTTGAAACTTTAGTGGTATATACATTGCCTCATAATCAGTCAAAACTCCATTTATCCCACATCATGGATTAAAGAAAACATTGCCAGGAGCCCTTCACTCTTCTAGAAGGACTTAATTTGATAGTCCCTTTTTCCATGGTTTAGAATATAAGAGGTAATAACTAAAAATATCTCCCTCATAATAGGCTCTAAAGCAAATTCTACTTTAAAGGCTGTTGTTCGTGTGTTTAACTGTGGCTACCCTTAATGTTTTTATCATCCACAGACAATTGTTGTCTCATTTTGGTCCTCTTTAAATGATGGTTTTATAATCAGCTATAAAATTTAACAGATGCCCTTAAATGCAGGATTCTGATTAATGACGCTGGAGATTGTGATATTAGAAGAGGGAAAACTTTCAAATAGGAGAGTGAATGGTGTTTGGTCTACTTTGGACTGTATTTTTATAAATATATTATTAGTATGTGTTCCAAAATTATTGAAAACTTCTATAGAAATGTAATCCCCAGTGTCGGAGATGGGGCCTGCTGGGAGGTGGCTGGTCCATGGGAGCAGTTTCCAGTGGTTCCCAGTGTCGGAGAAGGGGCCTGCTGGAAGGTGGCTGGTCCATGGGAGCAGCCTCCAGTGGTTCCCACTGTCGGAGATGGGGCCTGCTGGGAGGTGGCTGGTCCATGGGAGCAGTTTCTAATGGATAAGCATAATCCCTCTAGCACTGCTCTTGTGATAGAGTTCTCAAGAGATCTTGTTGTTTAAAGTGTGTAGGATCTTCCCCCTCTCTCTCTTCCTCCTGCTCTTGCTTTCCCTTCCACCATGATTGTTAAGTTTCCTGAGTCCTCCCCAGAAGCCGAGCAGATGTCAGCATCATGCTTGCTGTACAGGCTGTGGAACTGTGAGCCAATTTTCAGTACTCTTCTGTTTTCTTTTTATTTTTTTTTAAATTTTATTTTAAGTTCCAGGATACATGTGCAGGAGATGCAGGTTTGTTACGTAGGTAAACGTGCACTATGATGATTTGCTATACCTATCAACCCACTGCCTAGGTGCGTAGGTATTAAGCCCCACATGCGTTAGCTATTTATCCTGATGCTCTCCCTCCCCGTCCCCACTGACAGGCCCCAGTGTGTGTTCTTCCCCTCCCTGTGTCCAGGTGTTCTCATTATTCAGCTCCCACTTATGAATGAGAACATGTGGTGTTTGGTCTTCTGTTCCTGTATTAGTTTGCTGAAGATGATGGTTTCCAGATTCATTCATGACCCTGCAAAAGGCATGATCTCATTCCTTTTTATGGTTGCACAGTATTGCATGGCGTGTATGTACCACATTTTCTTTATCCAGTCTATCACTGATGGGCATTTGGATTGATTCCATGTTTTTCCTAATGGGAATAGTGCCGATATAAACATACCCGTGCATGCATCTTTATAATAGAATGATTTATAGTCCTTTGGATATATACCCAGTAATGGGATTTCTGGGTCAAATGGTATTTCTGGTTCTAGATCCTTGCAGAATTGCCAAACTGTCTTCCACAATGATTGAACTAATTAACATTTCTACCAACAGTGTAAAAGTGTTTATTTCTCCACAGCCTTGCCAGCATCTATTGTTTCTTGACTTTTTATTTTTTTATTATAGTTTAAGTTTTAGGGTACATGTGCAAAACGTGCAGGTTTGTTACATATGTATACATGTGCCATGCTGGTGTCCTGCACCCATTAACTCGTCATTTAGCATTAGGTGTATCTCCTAATGCTATCCCTCCCCCCTCCCCCCACCCCACAACAGTCCCCAGAGTGATGTTCCCCTTCCTTTGTCCATGTGTTCTCATTGTTCAATTCCCACCTATGAATGACAAAATGCGGTGTTTGGTTTTTTGTCCTTGTGATGGTTTGCTGAGAATGATGGTTTCCAGCTTCATCCATGTCCCTACAAAGGACAGGAACTCATCATTTTTTATGGCTGCATAGTATTCCATGGTGTATATGTACCACATTTTCTTAATCCAGTCTATCATTGTTGGACATTTGTGTTGGTTCCAAGTCTTTGCTATTGTGAATAGTGCCACAATAAACATACGTGTGCATGTGTCTTTATAGCAGCATGATTTATAGTCCTTTGGGTATATACCCAGTAATGGGATGGCTGGGTCAAATGGTATTTCTAGTTCTAGATCCCTGAAGAATCACCACACTGACTTCCACAATGGGTGAACTAGTTTACAGTCCTACCAACAGTGTAAAAGTGTTCCTATTTCTCCACATCCTCTCCAGCACCTGTTGTTTCCTGACTTTTTAATGACCACCATTTTAACCGGTGTGAGATGATATCTCATTGTGGTTTTGATTTGCATTTCTCTGATGGCCAGTGATGGTGAGCATTTTTTCATGTGTTTTTTGGCTGCATAAATGTCTTCTTTTGAGAAGTGCCTGTTCATATCCTTTGCCCACTTTTTGATTTTGTTTTGTTTTGTTTTGTTTTTTGGTCAATTTGTTTGAGTTCATTGTAGATTCTGGATATTAACCCTTTGTCAGATGAGTAGGTTGCAAAAATTTTCTCCCATTCTGCAGGTTGCCTGTTCACTCTGATGGTAGTTTCTTTTGCTGTGCAGAAGCTCTTTAGTTTAATTAGATCCCATTTGTCAATTTTGGCTTTTGTTACCATTGCCTTTGGTGTTTTAGACATGAAGTCCTTGCCCATGGCTATGTCTTGAATTGTATTGCCTAGGTTTTCTTCTAGGGTTTTTATGGTTTTAGGTCTAACATGTAAGTCTTTAATCCATCTTGAATTAATTTTTGTATAAGGTGGAAGGAAGGGATCCAGGTTCAGCTTTCTACATATGGCTAGCCAGTTTTCCCAGGACCATTTATTAAATAGGGAATCCTTTCCCCATTGCTTGTTTTTGTCATGTTTGTCAAAGTTCAGATGGTTGTAGATAAGTGGCATTATTTCTGAGGGCTCTGTTCTGTTCCACTGATCTACGTCTCTGTTTTGGTACCAGTACCATGCTGTTTTGGTTACTGTAGCCTTGTAGTATAGTTTGAAGTCAGGCAGTGTGATGCCTCCGGCTTTGTTCTTTTGGCTTAGGATTGACTTGGCGATGCGGGATCTTTTTTGGTTCCACATGAACTTTAAACTAGTTTTTTCCAATTCTGTGAAGAAAGTCATTGGTATCTTTATGGGGATGGCATTGAATCTATAAATTACCTTGGGCAGTATGGCCATTTTCATGATACTGATTCTTCCTACCCATGAACAAGGAATGTTCTTCCATTTGTTTGTATCCTCTTTTATTTCATTAAGCAATGGTTTGTAGTTCTCCTTGAAGAGGTCCTTCACATCCCTTGTGAGTTGGATTCCTAGGTATTTTATTCTCTTTGAAGCAATTGTGAATGGGAGTTCCCTCATGATTTGGCTCTCTGTCTGTTATTGGTGTATAAGAATGCTTGTGATTTTTGTACATTGATTTTGTATCCTGAGACTTTGCTGAAGTTGCTTATCAGCTTAAGGATATTTTGGGCTGAGATAATGGGGCTTTCTAGATATACAATCATGTCATCTGCAAACAGGTACAATTTGACTTCCTCTTTTCCTAATTGAATACCTTTTATTCCCTTCTCCTTCCTGATTGCCCTGGCCAGAACTTCCAACACTATGTTGAATAGGAGTGGTGAGAGAGGGAATCCCTGTCTTGTGCCAGTTTTCGAAGGGAATGCTTCCAGTTTTTGTCTATTCAGTATGATACTGGCTGTGGGTTTGTCATAGATAGCTCTTATTATTATGTGATATGTCCTATCAATACCTAATTTATTGAGAGTTTTTAGCATGAATGTTGTTGAATTTTGTCAAAGGCCTTTTCTGCATCTATTGAGATAATCATGTGGTTTTTGTCTTTGGTTCTGTTTATATGCTGGATTACATTTATTGATTTGCATCTGTTGAACCAGCCTTGCATCTCAGGGATGAAGCCCACTTGATCATGGTTGATAAGCTTTTTGATGTGCTGTTGGATTTGGTTTGCCAGTATTTTATTGAGGATTTTGGCATCAATGTTCATCAAGGATATTGGTCTAAAATTCTCTTTTTTGGTTGTGTCTCTGCCAGGCTTTGTTATCAGGATGATGCTGGCCTCATAAAATGAGTTAGGGAGGATTCCCTCTTTTTCTATTGAATGGAATAGTTTCAGAAGGAATGGTACCAGTTCCTCCTTGTACCTCTGGTAGAATTCGGCTGTGAATCCATCTGGTCCTGGACTTTTTTTGGATGGTAAGCTATTGATTATTGCCACAATTTCAGAGCCTGTTATTGGTCTATTCAGAGATTCAACTTGTTTCTGGTTTAGTCTTGAGAGGGTGTATGTGTCGAGGAATTTATCCCTTTCTTCTAGATTTTCTAGTTTATTTGCCTAGAGGTGTTTGTAGTATTCTCTGATGGTAGTTTGTATTTCTGTGGGATCGGTGGTGATATCCCCTTTATCATTTTTTATTGCACCTATCTGATTCTTCTCTCTTTTCTTCTTTATTAGTCTTGCTAGCGGTCTATCGATTTTGTTGATCTTTTCAAAAAACCAGCTCCTGGATTCACTAATTTTTTGAAGGGTTTTTTGTGTCTCTATTTCCTTCAGTTCTTCTCTGATATTAGTTATTTCTTGCCTTCTGCTAGCTTTTGAATGTGTTTGCTCTTGCTTTTCTAGTTCTTTTAATTGTGATGTTAGGTTGTCAATTTTGGATCTTTCTTGCTTTCTCTTGTGGGCATTTAGTGCTATAAATTTCCCTCTACACACTGATTTGAATGTGTCCGAGAGATTGTTATGTTGTGTATTTATTTTTTTAAGGCAGAGTCTTGCTCTGTCGCCCAGGCTGGAGTACAGTTGCTCGATCTCAGTTCACTGCACCCTCCACCTCCCAGGTTCAAGCGATTCTCCTGCCTCAGCCTCCTGATTAGCTGGGATTACAGGCGCCTGCCACCACACCCAGATAATTTTTGTATTTTTAGTAGAGATGAGGTTTCACCATGTTGGCCAGGCTTGTCTCAAACTCCTGACCTCATGTGATCCACCCGCCTCAGCCTCCCAAAGTGCTGGGATTACAGGTGTGAGCCACCGTGCCCTGCCTGTTTCTTGTATTTGATGATGAAAATCTGTTATTGACAGTAAGAGGATGGGGGCTCAAGTTAACAACAGGGTGTTAGAAAAGCAGCAGTAAAATTTTGGTTCTCAAAACATTTGATGTCTTATTCCTTTTTTTGAACATGGGTTTTGCTAAAAAAAAGGCCAGGCATTTTGAAACTTGATTTTATTGTCATGTTCTCATTTTGAAATTCATCTTATTGTTTGTACGAATTGGCAGCCGTATGTGGGAAATTTCAGTTTTGCATATTTTCTGATTATTTTCATTTTTACCTCAGAGATTTTGAACAGATGCTATACAAAAGTATTCATGTATTTATTCAACAAAATTTAGTGCTGGTTATGTTGCAAGCACTTAGTGAACTTCATGCTGTACGTGCCTCAGATACTTTTGTGAATGTAATGGCAACATCAAAAACTTTGCCCTTATGCACTTTATAAACTTTTAATTTCAAGGCATGTTGATGAGTGAGCATCTGCTATAACATACTTTCATTGTCATTTAATTAACCATTATTTGGGTACACCTTATATTAAAACTGATTATTAAAAACTGGAAAATATTTAACACATCTTCATCTTGACTTTTTCCTTAACATATGTAGATCAAGGGAGTCACTGAGAATCAATTTTAGGGATAGTTATAAAAATCTTAACTTTGCAATATAACTTTGTCCTCAATGTAATAACTGGAAAAAATAATTTACGTTTCAAAGGCTTTAATCTTTGTATTTTTTTGAAAAGGAGCCTTCACCGAGATTCTTTAAAAATTCTTGCTCTGTCCTACAGTAGAGACTGATAGACTCATGGATATGGTCCTCTAATGGATCTGTACTACCTCAGTTCTCTGACTGTCGCCCTCCTGTGGTGAAAATTAAAGCTTATTTTCATTTCATGTTTAGGATGTAGTATGTTCTTTTTTGGAAAAAATGATGTTTCTTGAGAAATAAGTGCCTTCAGTATTACTGTGTGTCACTTAATAAATATGACTAATATCTACTTTTACCAATTGTTGCAATTTGATCCTTAAAGAGTCATCTTTAAATTATACTTTTTCTTTGGTTAAATAAATTATAATAGACATTAATTATTTTTACATAATTTTCTTATGTGGACAGCCATTCTTAGAACTAAAACTTTCAGATGTTTATATTACAAGTACAATTATTATTTATTATTATTAATGTCAGTAGCCAAATGTAATCAACTGTCTTCCTTTTACTTCCTTTTTTGAATCAAAATGTTACACTTATACAAGCAAGAGCAACAGCTCTATATCTGGATCACTGCAGTGCCTAGAAGATACAACAGCACAATTTACAAATCCAAATTTCCAGGAAGTCTCTGCACATACCTCTAGTACAAAAGATGCTTCAGAGACTAGAGGGTCAGAGGGCAGAGAGGAAATATTCAACTCCCAGTTCAGGTCAAAAGGGAAGAAAGCCTGGTGTTGAAAGAAATCCAAGAATGACTGTATCTGCAACTCGCTCCTTTCTGTAAAGTATTCATGGTGTTTTACTTAAAATATGTGCTCTTATGATGGTCAATATTAATAGTTATGCTTTGTAAAAGAATTTATTCTTTACTTATAATTAATGGATCATTCTAAGTTATTATATGTTTAGTTGCTATAGTAAGATTATGTGAAAGATTTGTTTCCTGTTAAATGTTTCTGGGATCTTTGCTTTATTTTTATATTATGATCTGTGCTTTCAAAGTTGAGCTGTAATTTTATTGTTTATACAAATGTAGAATAAAGCTTAAGTATGGGGAGAAAAATAAAAGCTAGAGTTTTCCTTTCAGCTATAGAACAGTAATTTATTTCTATAAATGTTCTTTATGTAGCTTTCCTAGTTCCACATTTAAAAAGATAAATATGGGGATCTACACAGGTCTCAGTAAATAATAGTTCTTGATGAATAATGCATTTATTATAAAGCTTCAAGTTTAAAGTAGAATTTTGCTCAGCCTACATATCTTTTATGGTCAGGCTGCTCTAATTATGTAATACCCAGTTAAATTTCAATTTCAGATAAATAAGGCATAATATTTTAGTATAAGCATGTCCCAAATATTGTATGGGATATACTTACACTGAAAAAAGTATTTGTTTATCTGAAATTTCAAATTAACTGGGCATGCTATATTTTCTGTGGCAACCTGTTTTATAGAGAACAGAGTAAGTCAGCTCAATTTTAGAATACTTAACCATAACCTGGTGTTCTAGGTCTTTCCTTTTTGTAATTATTATTATTATTTGGAGTCAGGGTCGTGCTCCATCACCCAGGCTGGGGTGCAGTGGCACAATCACAGTGCCCTGCAGCCTTGAACTTCTGGGCTCAAGTGATTCTGGCACCTCTGCCTTTCCCTCCCAAGTAGCTAGTATCACAGGTACATGGGCCCAGCTAATTTTTTTTTTTTTTTTCTCATAGAGACAGGGTCTCCGGCTGGTCTGGAACTCCTGGTCTCAAGCAATCCTCCCACCTCTGCCTTTACTTCCCAAATAGCTGAGACCACAGGCACATGCCACCACCATACCCAGCTTATTTTTTAGCAGGTTGGTGCAAGAGTAATTGCGGGTTTTGCCCTTGAAAGTAATGGCAAAACCTGCAATTACTTTTTGCACCACCCTAATAATTCTTTGTGGAGACAGGGTCTTGTCCTGTTGTCTAGGCTGGTTTCCAGCTCCTGGGCTCGAGTGACCCTCCTGCCTTGGCCTCTAAAACTTCTGGGATTACAGATGGAAGCCACTGCACCAAGCTACTTTGTATAATTTTTAACATAAACATAAATATTTTGAGAAATAGAAATGTTAAAACCATTGGAGGAAAATATATTGTAAAGTATACAATAGAAAAAAAATCAAACAAAATACAACAAAAAATTATCAAAATATTCAGAGGAACAAAACAAAATCTAGTTTTACAATCTTCAGAATTCAATCCCATTATATCAAACATATAAAGAAATATATTCAAAGAAAAAGGCAATCAATAGAGACTAACCTCGAGATGACCCAGATGTTGGAATTAGTGTGGATTTTTAAAGTAGTTAGTTATTGTAATTCTTACTAAAATCAAAACCCCAAAAACCCGTAAAATAAATGGATGGAAATCACAGCAGAGAAGAAGAAACTACAATAATAACAAAGGCTCAAGTGGAAATTCTAGAAGTGAGAACGTTTTCAAAATTAAAAAATAATAATCAGTTGTGTTCAGGAGCAGCTTGGAGGTGGAAAAGAGTCAATGAACCTTAAAATACAATTGAAATGATTCAATCTGAAAAATGTGAGCAGTCATAGGTTGGGGTGAGGGAGATTTTCCTTTGGTTAATGCTTTTAGGTAATCTTGGTTTTGATAAGATTACTAGACTGATCCATCAGGGGCATGCTAAGCCAGAGTTTATCTTGGTTTCAGTAGTGCTTTAAACAAAACTCATGATATCCTTGTGTACAAGATGGAAGAAGAGTGGACCAGATGACAATATTTAGATGCAGTCATTCTTAACCTCCGTTGCTCTCCCAGTTGTCTAGCTGGGATTTGTATAAAGTGGAATGGGAGGAATAGGGAAGGAGCCCACACCTGCCCTCTCCCCTTGTCCACTTGTCCTGCTTCACTAGTGGATAAAGTCCACGGGAACAGGCAAGTTATTTTAAATCTGTATCTTCTGTTGTCAAGATCTGTAATCAGTTCTGCTCGCTGGACTGGGGACAGGAACCAAGGGAACATGAGGGTGAACGGGTTGACATGGAGTCCAAGAACACACTGTGCCTACATGCAGAATGTTTGTGCCAGGAAAGCCAGTCAGCAGGCAGATGGTCTCAGGTACCAAGCTAGTGTTGTGAAGCAAGATTCAGTCTCTTGAAGGTGGTGTTCCTCATTCTGTGGTTTGTATCACTTGCTCAGAATGACCTGGAGTACTTGTTAAAATGCAAATTTTGAGCCCAATCCTAGACCTCCTAAGCCTGCATCTCTACGGATGGGTCTCAGTAGTCGATATTGGAAACGTGCAGGTTCCTAGGAGATGCTTATGCATATAGATTTGAACTGTTGTGTTTAAGGGTTAGGGAGCTGGCAAAAGCAAGGAATAGACCAAGCCCTTGGGTGGGAAGGCTCCATAACCTTGACACTGTTAGCATTCTGGGCAGAACAGGATTCTGCCGCATGCTTTGCAGCATCCCTAGCCTCTACTCTCTAACACCGTATTCCAGTTGTGAAAACCAAAAATGTCCCCTCGGAGGCAAAATAGTCACCAGTTGGGAACCGGAACCACTGCTTTGTGGGATCAGAGTGGTTACTTTGTTCCCAATCCAAGGATCAGAACACACGACGAGAGAAAGTCCAGCTATTGGAACTGGAGTGCCAAGTTGAAGCTAGGCCTACAAAAAAAGCTCCAAAAGCTCCTTTATAGGGCTGATCCCATGCCTCAGCTACCTAGCTTGTACAGATGCCATGTAACTCTAGATTTGGTGACAGAAGGAATTTAAGGCTAGAACTAGATAGGTTCTTTCAGGTTAGGCCAGCACACAACGTGGACTTTTGACATCATCCAGATGCTTGAACCAACCTCAGTCCTGAGGCAGAATTTCCCGTGGCATCTGATACACAGCCTGGATTTGGAGCACTCACTGGGATTAGATGCCACGGGAATATTGTGTTTAGGTACTCTGAAAGAGACAGGCTTCAACAAAGCAGACCTAAGCAACACGTAGCGTCTGAACTTCTTTATCAGCTTCCATTCCAGCCCACGAGGACAAAAGCATCACATACATACCCACTGTGGCAAACCTGTCCTCAGTAGGGAGTTTCCCCAGTACTACTCTCCCCTCTGTTCTGAGCCTACTTGCTCCTTTATAGTGTTTCCACTTTCTGTCCCACTCCCTAATAGATGATTTGTCCTCTCTGTCCAGCCCCCTAGTTCTGATATTTGGATTGTCTGTGATCTGGGCAGTACTTAGGAGGTAGAATCAAAGCCTTGTTGATTGGATTGGGAGTTTCTAACTTCCTATGAAAGGCACTGATTAAGCATCTATTGTTTAAAGTAAAGTAAGATTATGATCCATTAAGAAAGATTCCACAAGTAGCGCAGGAAGAGTTGGTTTCTAGTACACTTCATGCTTCAGGACAGGAAATACAGAAAAAAATTCTGTGGTACGTTAAATGTGTACTGTAAGTTTCATTTCCATGTGAAAAACTGTAGTTAGCTAAAAAGTACATCCATGAAGAATCCTGATTAAACTTGTTTAATCCTGGTTATACTAGCTACTAGCTAAACAATAATTTCACAACAACTCAAGAACTCTGTAAAAGCATTTCCTCTGAATATTTTATTCAGAAAAAAAACACAAAAAGGTAAGACAGAAACAAAAATCCCAGTCATCTGCAGTATCTGTCGGCTTTCAATTTGGTTCTCTTTTTTAAATAAAGAAAAATAGTAAAATTAATCTATGTAAAACATGCCATATATATTCAACTGCTACTAAATATAAAAAGCTTTAAAACTGTGTGTTCAATTTTGGTTATTGTATTACCACAACACTTATATTAAAACATGTATACTTTTAAATTGGGTTTCCATAAAAAATGGATTCTAATCTTATAAAAGTTATTTCCTAATATTCAATAAATGTTGCCTAAGGGCTTTTCAATCCAAATAGCAATTTTAATTATTCTGGAATTTAAGGGTGCTCTAAATTTCCATTTAACAGGGTGAGAATGCTGTATTATTACAAGTGAAAAAAGTTACAGGACACAGAGCTTATTCCGTTTTAGAGTCCATATCCTGATTATATTTTATATCCTCTTCTTGATTTCTTACAACTAGACACATATTCATTTGCTCAGCTGGAAAAAATTCTTAACATTATTTACTGACTTTAGGTATGAACTCTACCAGCTAGTTAACAGGAAATACATAATTAAACATTGCCTTTATCAAGTAATGTAAAAAAAGGGTAAGAGTAACTTTGCAACATAGGACTTGAATGAGCAGCTGGTGATTATCAACATCTGGCACTTAACTGATTTATGCTTGTACACTCACAGCTAAACGTCTCTACCTGTTTTTCTATGTTGTAAATCTAGGCCATCACTTATCTACATAGGAAGAATAATAAATATTAATAATGTGCTATGATAAACATCCTGCACTCTTCCAAATCTTACAATAAAACTGCTTCAATTTCACTTATTTAGCTTTTATACTTAGTTTTTTAGTTGATATATGCTTATTTTAAGGAACCTGAACTACTCTAACAGAATCCACATAATTTTTGTATTAGTCAAACTGCTTCTTTCTAACTCTGGTTCTAATAGTTATAAAAAGATAATGATAAATTTATGAAGTAGATACAGTCAAACCTGAATTTCTTAAAGTATATACTTAGAATCGGTTATAATTTTTAGATATTCTTTCTTGACAGTCTTTTCCCAAACTCATGATGTCCTCTCTAGGTAATATTGCCACACTCATAAATTATAAATAAAGACAAAAATGTGAAAACTACAGTAATTTAAGAGAATATAGCTTTTCTACATGCCATTTCTATTGGCTACTGAAAAATAGTGAAAATAAGTAAATAGCTACCTGTCCAGAAGCGTTTCATGCAAAAATCCATCTTTCTGAGCCTTTTTAAGAATTTTACTCTCTTCTTTACTTATTTTAAGTTTGTGGTCTTGGAAGCTCTGAAATTTCTTTCTGCAAAGAAAATGTCTTCATTGAAAAATACCTCAAACTCTGATTATACATATTTACTATTAAATTTATAAATACTGTTAATTTCTTTTTCACTTATTAAAAAAGTCTAATTGTAGGGCAGGCGCAGTGGCTCACGCCTGCAATCCCAGCACTTTGGGAGGCCAAGGCAGGCAGATCACTTGAGGTCAGGAGTTCGAGAACAGCCTGGCCAACATGGTGAAACCCCGTCTCTACTAAAAATACAAAAATTGGCCGAGGGCAGTGGCTTGTGCCTGTAGTCCCAGCTACTCGGGAGGCTGAGGCAGGAGAATCACATGAACCTGGGAGGCGGAGGTTGCGATGAGCTGAGATCATGGCACAGCACTACAATCTGGGGGACAGAGCGAGACTCCGTCTTGGGGGAGAAAAAAAAAAAGTCTAATTGTACATTTTTTTTAATAAGCTGGAGCTTTTGAACAACAAGATGAACTTTGTGACCTCTCAAGAGGAGGGCCACTCATTGACTGGGTAGCACAAAGCCCCACTTCTATTAGGGCATGCTGGCTGGAGTCCCCTGTGTCCTAGCCAGAGAACAGCCTTTGACTGGCATCACGCCCATTCTATGAATGAATAGAGAGGTTGACTAACCCGACTGAGTACCTTTGGGAGCTGGTAGGATGATTAGGAAAACTGAACCCTCAAGAAAAGAAAAGAATTTAGCTCAGTGCTCTGTCCTAGAGGCTACATCGTGTTGCTTCTTCTTGTCCATCAGTTTTTATTTTTTCAGACGGGATCTTGCTCTGTCACCCAGGCTGGAATGCAGTGGTGATCAGAGCTCACTGCAGCCTTGAACTCCTGGGCTCAAACAATCCTCCTGTCTCAGCCTCCCAAGTAGCTGGGCCTACAGGCATGCACCACCATCCCCAGCTAATTAGGTAATTTATTTTGAAAGCACTTTGAGAAGCACTTCACTGTCAAATCTGTAGGTCTAAAAGGAAAAGCATACACACACGTAATTGATTTCACATTGTTTTATATTTCCTTTGTCTTCTTCTGGAATGTCATCTTTTTTCTTGGTTTCTCTTTCAGCACAGGATCTAATCTAGATATTGGAAAAGAGAATCCAATGGGTTATATGTTTATCTTCCACCTTCCCCACTTTACGTATCACATAAGAATATTTGAGATGATTTCTTATGCAGAAGAAAAAATTAACTGAGCAACTATATTCAGAAAAAGACAGGTTCTGGCTATGTGTTTTTAATTCATATATATAATCTATATGAGTAAGTGCTATCATATGCTTCCTCCGCAGCCCTTGTGTCAGAAACACTACAGAAAAAATTATTTCAGAAACATTTTACACATCAGATCCTGCTAGGCAATAAAGAAATCATTCATTTAATTTTGTCCTCCAAGTGAATACACTAGGATCAAATTATCCCTAGTAGACAAGTGTTCATTTGATCAGACTGAAAGCTTAATAGCTATTTTACATTGCACAGACTATTATCAAAGTATTAAAACTTTTAACATTACACAACTTGTTTTTAATTAATTGGAACCCACCTCTTTTACTGGCTTCTTATATTCTCCTAAGTTTGGACAGATGTTTACTATCACATATCATTAGTTAATTGATCTGCATTCAACAATTAGGATTGTCTACAGAACAGGCAATTGGCAATGGTAAGGACTCATGTCTCCTAAATGATCTCTGTGGCCAGAGTCCAGTTCCAGGGCTGCTTAGAAAGTGATGACAAATAACATGTTTGTGCCAATGACATCTTTGTGACAGTTTTGATTAGAGGGGTCCCAGACCTGAAAACATTCCCTGCTAGGGCCTGTAACACAATGTTACCTTTAGTAAGAGGGATCTGTGTTCTGGTAGATAAGGCAAGGTCATAAAGGTGAAGGTCTGACAGAGATTAGGAGAGCCTGCAATTAAATGGTATGAAAAGAGTCCTAAATAATCACTGTTCAGAGCTTCCAAGTACTTGACTAAACAAAGAGACCCAGAAAACTTTGTATTTCATCTGAAAATTGCTTTAAATAGTGAAAAACTCAATCTTTGTGTATCTTTGTATCTTTGTATAAGTGCAAAGCACTGCACATATACTTGCAATTGTTGCCTTCAATAACACTTTTGTGATGATATCCAGATGTAAAATAATTTACACATGATACAATAAAATATAAATAAATAAAATTAAATGTAATCACAAACCCATCTTCATTTCCTCAATGACCTGTTTCCTGAGAAGCAATGTGCTATGAAATACGGAGAGTGGCCTCTGGAGTCAGCTGGGCCTGGGTACACATCCTGTCTTACCACACCTTGAAATCACTGTGATTTCCATGAACTGACTGACAAAAACCACGAGGATGTAAGGAGGGTCAGAGGCTGTCTTCCTGTCTGTAAGGCTGAGCTCACATCCACCTCACAGGAGCATTATGGAAATTCAAGACTACAACACATGTGCCCGATGCATGCAACGAAAAAATATAACATTTCACTTCTCTAACTGTAAGAAAAACCTACATTTTAGATTGAAATTGTTTGAGCTTTAGATTTGAAATTATCTGAAATCAAGACTATTCTAAAAAGAAAATCAAACATATGACCAGAAATCTAACATGAAGCACGTACAGAGAATTGATAGATGCTTTTAAATTACACTGGTAGTAGAGAAAAATGTAACATTAATTTTTATGCTCTAATTATAAGAACGAAGGGCATTTTAGAAAAGACATTTGCCCCCTCTCTTAGAGCCTTCCACTCTGGCCCCCACAATGCCTTACAGAGCAAACCTGGGTCAGACTGGATGCAACCTGTGACTCCCAACAGAGACAAACAAAGCAACGTTCAGGATGCTCAGTACTGCGATGGAATGCCAAGACACAGAAAAGCCATGTGTCAAGAAGGGGGGAGTTATTCTTTAGACACATCCTGGTATATGTTTATCATTAAAGATCAGTGGCTTTTGTAAGTCTAAAAAATTAAGCCTTAAATGTTTTCATCACATTCCAGTTAACTACCTGATTAGTCTAGGTTATATTAACAGTATTATTTAGAATTTCACCTTGAAATGAAGATGTCTGTATAACTTTTACAATGATGTAAAACAAAGAGTAGGATTAGGGAGGCCACAGGCTACTGGTGCAATAGCTAACGCGTCTGACTACGGATGAGGGAATTTAGCCTGGAATAAGGAGCTTTTATTTCCAGCTTAGTGATGCACACAAATTTTAAAAATAAAATAAAATCATGTTTTATGTGATTCATGTTTCTCCTAATGCAAAGAAGATGGGTACTATTAATAAAAATATCTTTAAAATGTAAGGGCTAAGGCCCCAGAAGTTCTGCTATGATTTTTTATGTTTCATAGAGTGATTATCATCACAGAAGCTCAAGCATTACATAAATACAAACGTGTATACCCCAACCTGGCAATTCTGCTTCTGGAAATTTATCTTCAAGTCCACCCGCACATCTACAAATTGATGCATATTCAATATTATGTACTGCAGCACTGTTTATAAGAACAAAAGACTGGAAACAGCCTAAATTTCCATCTACAAAAGACTAAATAAATTAAGGTACATCCCTAAAATGGAATATTATGTGGCTGTTAAAAAAGAGAGAGAGAGAAAGAGAGGAAAAGCAAGAAAAAGAGAAAACTTTCTACATTCAAACTAATAGTAGAAAACTCTCCAAGACACAATTTTAAGGAAAAAAAATCAAAGTCGAGAAGACTATAGAGGAGGCTGTCTTTAGTGTAAAATAGTTGAAAATTATAAATATATTCATATGTTTATAAAGAAATTTTAGGAGGCTATAAAAAAACAAAGGGAAAGAGGAAAAGGAGGTGGGAAACAGGTGAGTAAGATGCATGGCAGGCATATGTCTTCATCTTCATATGCTTTTATTTAAAAATGTTGGACCACGTGTACACGTTATCTATTTTAAAAATTAGATTTTAAAGTACAAGCAAGAAAACAAGAAAACGAAAGCTTAAAAAGAGCACGTGGAACTACCAGAAAAAGATACTAATCCATGGAGATAATGGCAAGGTAGCTCCTAGATGCACTGATTTCTCTACCACATTGTATAAACAAGCCATCAACTATGGGATTTATAATTTAAAATGACTCTATTTGAAACACCACATTATAAAAAGCCATTAACTAAATCTTTAAAGTGACTGTAAATGATGACTTAACATTTTAAAGAGATACAGTCACATCGCATGTGTGAATGCAGTCATCTGTATAAAATGTCATCATTACCTTGATCATTTCTTCTTCTCCTGCTGTTTTACTTTTTGCTTCTATGTCCTCTGCTTCACTGTATCTAATAAAGCAGCTATTTGAGGTCGACAAAGCCATTTTCCCCTAAGTGAAACAAAATAACAAAATAGCCATGAGGATACTTCTTGTAGAAGAAACATTAAGTGTTTACACTGAATTAATTTTTCCTCCCTGATTTAAAAATCACAGAAAAGAACTTAGAGAAAAACCTGAAAAATATAATAAAAGAACATATAGAAAAGGAAACCAAAATCACCTTTCATTTTACTATTCAAAGATTACCACAATAAACATTTGTAGCATATCTTCCTAGTAGTACTATTCTAATTAGATGAGGTAGGATTGCTTCCTTTCTAAAAGACCTACTGAAGATAAAACTGATTTAGTTCTGTTTGAAAAATTAACTTTAAAGATGAGAACATAATTATGAATGCATACTTTATTCAAATATTAGCATTTTAAGTAAAATTTATTTTCTTCACAATTAGAAAACATGAAAAGGTATATACAATGCCTTTGGTGTTTTTAATTTAAGAATCAATGTCTGAGGGACTTTTGTGTGTGAAAATAAATATTCATATACATTTTTAGTTGTTTAATGTTTGATGTATTACACTGCTTTCTATTAAACAAAACTTTAAAAACTGATTTTCTTGTGTATCTAAATCTGGGTTATAAATTTGGTTAGCTTAACTCCTGTAACAAATATAACATTTATTTATAACTTGTATTTGGTTGATTCTTTTGGAAAACTTGGAATACCATAACATTTAGACAAAATAGTTATAAATACAATGATTACAAAATATGTTAACCTTATATCACATCCAGTTAAAAATGTGCTGATAACATCGATTTAATTTCTTAGTCAAGTCACAAGGGCTGGGTGGTCTCTCATCTGGATGGCTCTGGGTGAGCCCTGGAACATGGTGCTGGGGTCCAAGGCGATTTAAACCTGTGTCACAGGTTATTCAGCTGAGTCCTTTTTGCAAGAGAGTTTTAAGACCCTCTTTCATTTAAATTTAAATTTGTGAAACTTAGTGTCCTTCCTAAAAATAAAATGAAATGAACTTTCCTAAAGTGTTGTATTATTAGTACTATCTAAGTCATCATCCTGGCCTTATGAAATATTGGCATTTTCTACTGGTGTAACTTTTATTAGAAGCATCTCATCGTAACTAGTAGGATCATCTCAAAGGGGTTGCAACACATTAGCAGGTAATGAAATCAATGTAGTGTTTCCTGAATGGTATTGGGTGGGGGGGGGGGGGGAAGGAAAACACACAGATACACAGCGGAAGGGTAAAAGAGAATAATAAATATCAAAGTGCATAACACATGGATAAGTAAATATTGTTAAGTGCAACTCTTGCTTCAGTTATACATATGTGTGTGCTGGGCTGCAATGTAAAAATGCATTTCTCAATGGATTGGGTCAAAATAGTTTTCAAGTCACTGACTTAAGATTTTATCCTAGGGGATGAGGAAATTAGTCTAAGTGATTACCTCTTTCTGGTGGGATGTTTGTTTAATCTGTCATCTTAGAAAACACTGCTGAGTTCCTATTTTCAGTTCATTATTGTATACTACCAAAGCTGCTACTCAAAGGCTGAGCTTATCTTCTATTTGCTTGTTCTGTGTGGTGCCCACTGGTCCTTACTGTTTTTGATATAGCTATCTACTTTTTAAAGACAGTTTAGCACTCACATATTTTTGTTCAATCTTTACTTCTCACACAGAAAAAGGAAATTATGTATTCTGTATCAACAAAACATCCATATACTACAACTACTTACTAAAATTAAGAATTAGTATACTATCTTTTTTCTTATATTAAATCTTTTCATACACTATTTTAAGCTTATGAACTGAAAGTCTTTTAGAGATAATTTACTTCAATGAACTATTATTATTTATATTTTATATGCAAATTGTCACAACTTGGTCTTAGCTAGCTCCACTGTTCACTTACAGTCTGTAATGTTTCTGAAAGCATCCATGATTTCTGCTACAAAGAAGATACTTAGGAACAATTCTGTTTTCCTACTCTGTGACCTAAAATTGACTGGTTCTTCAATGGAAATTAGATCCATATCTAGGCACTAAGGGTATACAGAAATAATTGTGGGCAAAAGTACTAATGCTATTTTTGTTGCACTATATTTTGAGATCTCTTTAAGGCTTTATGTTCTCACTGATTTATTCCTATTTAATGTATTATACTATTGCATCCTACTTTTTCTTTTTAAATATATTATGATTGACTGTTACAGACTTTCTGTTAAATTGACAGGGAGTTTTTATAAACAATAACAGCACTTACAATTTTAAAGACTGGTTCCCATTGTTCTCTTGGTCCAATTGCATCTGAACGCCCAACAACAAGTTCATCTGAATTTATACCAAGATATTTTCCATAGCCAGATTTCAGGGTGATTCTGTACATTAATAAGATAGATAAAAGTTAAAAACTGAGAGAAAATTAATTATAGGGCATCAAAACAGGACATGTGTATGTGTGTGGGTGTGTACATATCTAAAATTTCAGACTGGACATATTTCAAGTGTTCAAAAGATGCATGTGGCTGAGTGGTGACTCACTCCTGTAATCTCTGTGCTTTGGGAAGGCAATGGGAGAATTGCTTGAGGCAAGAAGTTCAAGATCAGCCTGGACAACATAGTGAGACCCCATCTCTACAAAAAATTTAAGAAGTTAGTTGGGCATGGTGGTGTGCACATGTAATACCAGCTACTTGGGAGGCTGATGCAGGAGGAGTGTTTGAGCCCAGAAATTTGAGGTTATAGTGAGCTATGATCACACCACTGCCCTCCAGCCTGGGTGACAGAGTGAGACTATGTGCCTTCAAAAAAAAAAAAAAAAAAAGGCTACATGTGACTGGTTGTTGCCATATTGGACACTGCAGATTTAAATTTAGTTTTATATTTTGCTTTTTTAATATAAACATTGTACCTTATATATTACATAACAAATATTTTCAAAATTCATCATTCTTCAATTATATCTCTTTAGTTATAAACTTCAATAATAAATTACTAAAACTATGTCATCAAACTGTTTTCCAGAAAATGCTGCTTCCATTTACATTCTTACCTCAAATTAACAGAGTATGTTTTGTATCATGGATTTTTTTTTAAACATTATGACTCTAAAAAAATACTCGAAAACCTGATATGAAAAAAACAGTATCCTATTAATTTGCATTTTAGTAGTTAACTAGAATAACAATTGTTTTTCTTTTCCTTTCCTTTTTACTTTTTAGATTATCTGGTAATGTCCCTTGTCCATTTTTCTATTCAGATCTGATTGTTCGCAATTTTTCTACTGGGGTCTTCAGTGCTATGAATTCTATACAAGATACATATGAACAGTAAGAACTCACTGCCTATTAAGATTGTTGCAAATATTTTCCTCATTTGTCAGTTGATTTTCTTTATAATCCTTTTCTGTTTATAATTGTAAAGCAGTTTAAAACTATTGAATTTTTTCTTCCTCTGCTTTTATTCTTTGTCTTTCACCCTACTTATCAGACTTTCAAAGAAAGAGTAGAAATAATCATCTTAATGTGATTTTTTAAAATTATGATTTCTTTTACCTTACCAAGAATCTCCTCGGATGCCAGAATTGACTTTTACTCCTTTATACGTTAATGATTGTATAACAGAAATCATTATCATGTTGATGTAACCAATTACTAAAATATGTAAATTCACTTTCAGTATCTTTTACCCAAAGAATCATTCTATACTTCTGCACAAGGTGAGAATAAAAAAGGTTACTTTATAAAATGACTGTAACAATAGTGAGTAAAAATATTATTTTGGTCATTATGATACTGTAACATTCTCTGCTGGTTTCAACAAATATTCCTTTTTTTTAGTCTTCCTGTTTGTCTTTAGACTTCGAAACAGTGAGTTTAAATATCATACCAACAGTGAACCAGGTTTTGTACTATTTGATATATTTTATAATCTATCTTATTTGGTGTGTGAAATTATTAATCTTCATTTTTTAACTTACATATCATTTTTCCAGCCTAGCATTATATATTGATAGGAAATCCACTAAAAGTAGATCACAAAATCTACTTCTCAAAAAAGCTATTTCATTTTTTATATCTAAATTACCGTGGGCTTAAGACAGATAGTAAAATTTTTAATGAATACAATTAAATTTTTAAAATCACTGGTTACTAATTATATTACAACTTAAGCTCACCTGGAATCAGATAATTTGACAGCCGAAAACTGCTCTGGAGGACTAGGGCCCTCATCAACTATTGGAGAAAAAACATTTGAAAATAAATTTGACATTTGCTATAAATATAAAGACATTATTTTGCTTTAAAAATGTGGCTATTTTCTTCTGCAATTAAATGTAAGAATATTCAGATATACTGATGTCACTGTAATACTGTATCTTTGGAATCAAGATCTATTTTACCTTCTTTTAACTACAGTGCTAATTTTATACACTGAGTAAGACAGGGTGATATAATGTTTATTTAATAACTTTCGAGATAGCTTCTCTTTATGTTTTAAAATACAGTCGTAAATAAGCACTTATTTAAAAAAGCTAAATGCTTTCATTTATTCAATGGATGGCCTTGCTGACCAAATGATACTGCTTTTTATCTTCTAATTACTTCGTATCTCATTAGTGCTTCCTCTAATGGGCAAGGAAAATGAGGAAACTTCAAATTGTTAAATGCACCCAGGTTAGTTTTGGTAATAGCTCTGAATAAAAAAGTAATTCAAACATGTTTGACTCAAATAGGTTTTCTTTTTTCCTTCCACTTACTATTTTAATTATTCATATTCTTATTATTTCCAAAGATACTCTTCTGGAACTACACGGAATGTTTTCAAATGCTTATATTAGAAAGAGGGACTTGCCAATGGCTGGTAAATATTAAGGAATTAAAAAAAATGGAAGAGTAAAATGCAATGGTTCCATTCCTTTGGAAAATGTTTGAGACTAGTTAGAGCCTGGCCTAAGTGAATGAATGTCCTAAAATCTACACTTGTGGCAGGATCTTCCCTTCCAGACACAAACCTTCTTTGTGTGGAGCTCCCAGGGTAAAAAGACCATTATCGAGTGCATGTATATAGGTTCCCTCATCCATTTCAATGGCTATGGTTCCTGAAATTTCACCAAAGTTTGTTACTGTCCACCAGATTCCTAAAAAATAAAATTGATATTTCTACTTTATATTTTAGTTTTGACACAGAGTTCTTTTTTATTATAACTTAGTTTTAAAAACTTTTTATTTTGCAGTCGTAAGAAATAATACGAAGATCTCACATATCCTTTACTCTCTTTGTCTCGATGACATCTTGCATAAGTATCATACGTTGTTAGAATCAGGAAACTGACACTGATATAATCCATGAAGCTTATTCAGATTTCACCAGTTTTACATGTACTTGTTTGCATGTATGTGCACATATTCATGCAACTACCAGCACAGTCAGGATTAGGTTTTTAAAATACAAAATAGCAACATACAGCAAACCCAGCTACTCGGGGAGCTGGGAAAGAGGATCACTTGAGCCCAGGAGTTCAAGGTTATAGTGAGCTATGATCATGCCACTGCACTCTAGCCTGAGTGACAGAACAAGGTCCTGTCTCAAAAAAAGACCAAAACAAAACAAAAGGCAACATGTGAAGGTACAAAGTGATATATGGAGAACGGTCTCTCTCATGATAGACCCCAGCCATCTATTCATGCCTGCTTTCCAGAGGCAATGCCTATCATAATGCTTCTTAAAAATGCCTCTACAGGAAGACTTTCTAGCATAGTAATCTTTTTTTTTTTTTGAGACGGAGTCTCGCTCTGTCGCCCAGGCTGGAGTGCAGTGACGCGATCTTGGCTCACTGCGACCTCCGCCTCCTGGGTTCAAACAATTCTCTGCCTCAGCTTCCCGAGTAGCTGGGGTTACAAGAGCCTGCCACCATGCCCGAATAATTTTTTTTGTATTTTTAGTAGAGACAGGGTTTCACCACATTGGCCAGGCTGGTCTTGAACTCCTGACCTTGTGATCCACCCGCCTCTGCCTCCCAAAGTGCTAGGATTACAGGTGTGAGCCACCGCACCTGGCCAGTAATCTTAACTACAATTTTAGATTGAAAGTAAAATGAGCAGAATCTATGTCTATGTATACTAATTTCCAATTTGCCAATAGAAATGTTAGACTCTAGCAACAATTATTTTAGCAGTTGTCATAAAAATTTATATCTTAATGTTAAAAAATATCCTCAAACCTCCTCCTAAATTGTACTTTAACTAGAGTAGAAATGAGTCAATCATTAACTGGATATGACATATTAAGGAATTCTTGTTAATTTTACAAGGTCTGATAATGACATAGTATAACGTATAAAAGTAAAGAACAAAACAGGTGATGAGAGAAAGACATACCATGTTAAGAAATGTACATTTATGTGCTTATGGGTAAAATGATGCAATATCTGTGATTTTACTTAAAATTTTCTAGGAAAAATTGTGTGTGGGAGTGTGTATGAAATGAAACGAGATTAGCAAAATATTGATAATTAATGCTGGGGCCTGGGCACATGGGGGACTCATTATATTCTTCTATGTATGGATTAGTTTGGATATTTCCATAATAAAAAGGTTTTAAAGATTCAGTTAATTCCACTGCACAAAATTTTCTATTCAACTAAACATTTCATGCTTTTCATAATCAATTTTAAAATACATAAAATTTTAGCTAAAATGAAGTTGGACCCTTATCTAACACCAAATACAAAAAGTAACTTAACATAGACCAAAGAACTAAATGTAAGAGCTAAAGTTAGAAAACTTTTAGAAGAAAATGGGAAAAGCTTCATGACAATGAATTTGGCAATGATTTCTTATATAGAACATCAAAGGCACAGGCAACAAAAGAAAACACAGACAAACTGGACTTCATCAGAATTAAAAACTTTTGTGCATCAAGAACCACTGTCAACAGAGTAAAAGGTAACCCAGAGAATGGAGACAATATTTGTAAACTACATACATTATAAGGAATTAATATCCAGACTATATAGAGAACTCCAAAAAGACAAATACCACAATTCAAAACTGGGCAAAGGATATACACGGACATTCCTCCAAAGATGATATACAAATGGTCAATAAGCACTCGAAAAGACGCTCAACATCACTAGTCACTAGGGAAATATAAATCAAAACCATAATGCAATGCCACTTCACACCCATTAGAATGCTATTATCAAAACAAACAGAAAACAGAAACCAAGAAAACCAGAAAAACAAATGTTGGGCAGGATGTGGAGAAACTGAAACCCTCTGCAATGCTGGTGGGAAGGTAAAATGGTGCATGTATTTAAATGCCACTGAAGTGTACACGTAAAAATAGAAAAATTGGCAAATTCTATACTCTGTATATTTTACCTCCACACACACACAAAACCAATGGAGAAAAAGAAAATTAGTCAAAATTAAAATTTCAGCTACAGACGATTGGAAAGCAATAAAACTAATGACAATTTAGGTGGTTGAGTTATAGCTACAATTGTTTTCAGTAAAGGAAATAATGCTTTATTCAGAATCATTATGAACAGTGTTATGATTAACAAGTCTTTCTTATAAATGTAATAGTTAATAATTTTAAATTAGTTTTATTTTGTATGTTCTATGCCACGTTCACCAAGTACACTTAATATTAAATAAAATCATTTAAATATAATATCTCATTAATGTTTTGCAAATGAAGAAGAAATTTCTGGCAGAGAAGCTCCTCAAAATTTTCACCCTCTGTCCAAGTAGGAAAATGATACAATAATATTACTTATAATATTGTCAACTGAAAAAGAAATTACTTTGAGCAGATGCCAGTATTTCTTCTCAATGAGATTTCAAAGAATAAGAAAGCTAAACACAGTATCATCAAGAATTAAATGTGAGCATTCTGCCTACTTTGTGCAAGTGGCCTACATTCAACCTTTGGAGGTATGCTCATATGTTTAATGACTAAAGTAACATAACATAATACTTAACGGTGCCACTCGGGGGTTTTAGCTGTGAAAAAGCAGTGGATCCTAAGAACAGTGGGCACTGAAGTTGCCTGTCTCTATGTCAGGTTACAGCTCAAGCTGTGTATATGCTGCAGACGCCCAAGCTGAATTTAAGAGAATCCGCTCTAAAACATTACTTGCTATTTAGACACATGCTTAAAGTTATTTCCTTTTAAACCTTAGGCAGATGGTGAAACATTCCCGCTGTGTTGTTGTCTCACAATGCATAACAAAGCTTTTCACATATTTTCACATAGTTGAGAATGTTTCCATACGTCTGGCATGCCTGTAATCCAGCACTTTGAGAGGTGGAAGCAGAAGAATCACTCAAGCCCAGGAGTTCAAAATCAGCCTAGGCAACAAAAGGAGACCCCTATCTCTATAAAAAAATTAAGAAATTAGCTGGGTATGGTGGTACAAGTCTGTGGTCCCAGTTACTCGGGAGTCCGAGGTGAGAGGATGGCTTGAGCCTACAAGGTCGAGGGTGCACTGGGCCATGATCACGTCACTGCACTCCAGCCTGAGCAACAAAGCAAGAGCCTGTCTCAAAAAAAAAAAAAAATGGCCTGATGCACCAGTGTCATGGCTGATAAGATACTCCCAGGGCACCCTCATTCTAGCATCAAGGCTGTGAGACAGCTCACCTCACCTTCTGACTAACCCAGTGCTTCTGTGCTAAGGGCCCCCTTAAATCTCTACCTTCATTATGTGCTTGGCACAAAGGAATGATATATCTTAGATTCGGAAATGGAATTTTATTCCCAAATCTTACTGTAGTCTAAGTACCCTTCACAGACCTTCTATTAACCCATAGCTTACTTAGCTTTAGTTCCTGGGTAAATCAAATCTGTGTTTTGCAAACTACGATGTTGTAAGTCAATTGCTTCTGAATCTAGCAGAGCTCAGTGAAACTATTTGCTTACAGACATGCTCATTTTTATTAATGTCACACATGGTATTCTCCATGTGAAAAACAGAATTTCTTTCATCCTGTTTACCAATCCCTTCAGATCCTTGTGAGGAACCAACAGAACAGCTTTAAAAAATTAAAAGGTTTTTTTCTTTCCCTTCACAAATAGGCACATGCTTATTTTTACGGCGAGTTTAGAAAATCCACAATGCAAAAGAAGGTGGAAGGACAAAGAGAAAAAGACGCAGAAGGACTTCCTCTTCCAGCCAAGATGGACTTGCCCTCCCACCATGACCAATGAGAAAACTGAAACTGGACAGAATATTTGAGAGAACTGTTTTTGGGGATTGGAACACAGGCAGAACAGGACTGTGATATTTGAGAACAGGAAAACACAGGAGGCAAATCTAACACACACTTCTGTTTTCTGCCCAATGGCAGTTTCTTGATGACGCAGAGAGAGGTAGAGAACTCCAAAAATGAGGCAATGTCACTGTCACTAAGCTGAGAGTCTTGCAGTGCTAACATGTTTGGAGTTTATAGAATAAGGTACTGGAGAAGAGGGTGAGGCCTCAAAAGAGTATGCAAAAGTTCTCTGCAGGTCTGGGGCCAAGGGCTGGGGGGAGTGCATACAGTAGGCAGGCTCCACAAGGCCCATGCAGAGTGGCTGGCACTTCTGAGGGCTGACTGGAGATGCCAGAGATCACACAAATTTGGGACATAGCAGAGTGGAGAGAACTCACCAAATATACCTAGAACATGTGGCTGAGGCCCATGAGGATGAAACTTTCCTAGAGTAAGAGTCACTGTCTAAGTCTACAGGCAAAAACCTAATAAATAAGCACAAACTAACAAAGGCCCAGGCTTGACAGGAGCAAAAGGGTGGTCAAATAATTTAACTAGGCATCAAGACATTTAACAGAAATAAAGGTTAAAATGTTATGAAAATGAAAGACTGAATTTATAAGGAAGACTTAACAATCCTAAATGTGTACACATGACAGCCTCAAAATACTTTAAGCAAAAACTGCTCAAGTAGACAGATCTAGAATTACAGCTGGAGATTTTAACATAACTCTCAATACATTGTAGGATGAGTGAAAAATCAGTAAGGACACAGAAGATGTCCATAGTCACAAGCTCCACCAGTTGATATAACTGACATCTAAAAAACACTGAACTACCAGGCGCCACAGCTCATGCCCGTAATCCCAGCACTTTGGGAGGCCGAGGTGGGCGAATCCCCTGAGGTCAGGAGTTTGAGACCAGCTTGGCCAACGTGGTGAAATCCTGCCTCTATTAAAAATAAAAAAAAAAATTAGCCAGGCATGGTGGCAGGTGCCTGTAATTCCAGCTCCTCTGGAGGCTGAGCCAGGAGAATCACTTGAACCTGGGAGGCGGAGGCTGCAGTGAGCCAAGATCACGCCACTGCACTCCAGCCTGCTGGGCAACAGAGCAAGACTTCATCTCAAAAAAAAAAAAAAAAAAAAAAAAACAAACAACAAAAAAACCCTGAACCAACATCTGCAGAATACACATCCTTTTCTAGTGTACATGGAAATTCGCTAAGAAAGTATGTTCTCCAACTATACTATAAGTGAATTAGAAATCAGCAACAATATCATACCTATAAATCTCTATGTAGTAGAAATTAAAAACAGTACACTTTTAAATAACTCAAGTGTCCATGAAAAGAAAAATCACAAGGAAAACTAGAAGATATTTTGAATGGAATGAAAATGAAAACAAAATGTGTTGACTATAACTAAAACTAACATGGAATGAGGAGATCTAACTCCCTTCTTAAGAAGCAATAAAACAAGAGCAAAGTAAACTGAAAATAAGTTAAAGGGAGGAAAAAAAAAAGACTGAAAATAAATGAAATAAAACATGAAAAAAAGAAAAAATAAGTAATGTTGAAACAAGCTTGTCCAACCTGAGGGCTGCATGTGGCCCAAGCCAGCTTTGAATGCAGCCCAACACAAATTCATAAACTTTCTTGACACATTATGAGACTTTTTTGCTTTTTTTATTTTTTGGCTCATCAGCTTATCGTTAGTGTATTCTATGTGTGGCCCAAGACAATTCTCCTTCCATTGTGGCCCAGGGAAGCTAAAAGATTGAATACCCCTGTACTAAAAGATCATTAATGATCTAAAATAAATGATCTTATAAAGAATTGATAAACCTCCAGCTAGACTGACTGATCCAGGAAAAAATGGAAAAACAAAAATTACCAATATGAAGAGACTGCAATACAGATTAGATTCTACAGACATTAAAAGGATATTAAAGGAATATTCTGAACAATTTTATGCCAATAAATCCAGCAACTTGGATGAAATGAAATTTTCCTAAAAGACACAAATTACCAAAGCTGACAACAGAAAAATCTGAAAATATCTCTTAAAAAATCTTAATTTTCCCTCAAAATCTAAAACCAAACCAAACAAAACCCTCTAGGTTCAGATGACTTCACTGGTAAATCCTATCAAACATCTAAAGAAGAAATCATACCGATCTTACACAGCTATTTCCAAAAACAGGGAAGGAGACAGCACTTCCCATCTAATTTTATGACACCCAATATCACCTTGACACCAAAATCAAATAAAGCCATTACAAGAAAAGGATACAAAAGTCCAATATCTCCCATCAACACCAATATAGAAATCTTATAAAGAAGAAAAACGAACACCTAGAAATCAAATCTAGCAATATTCCAAAAGACAACGCACCACAACCAAGTGGGGTTTATCTCAGGGATGTAAAGTTAGTTTAAAAGTTGAAAATGAAACCAATGTTATTCAATGGCAGAATGAAGAAAGTTGTATAATCATCTCAAGAGATTACAGAAAGAGGCACTGGACAGCATTAAACATCGTTATGATAAAAACTCCCAAGAAACAAAGTCCTCATTTTGATAAAGTTTTTCTCTGCAGATCCTACAGACATCATACCATATGGTGGACTACTAAAAGTTTTCTGCCTAAGCTTGGAAACAATGCAATTACGCCCATTCTCGTGACTTCTGTTCAACACTATGGAAGTCCTGAACAGTATAATAAACCAATAAAAAGCAAGACAAGACATAAGGATTAGGAAGAAAGAGGTAAAATGATAGTCACAGGAAACATAATTGCAAATTTCTTAGTTTTCTATATAAACAAATCATTAGAAGTAAGAAGTGAAACAGACTTATCAGACTACAAAGTCACTATACAAAAATCAATTGTATATCTACATACTGACAGCAAACAACTGGAAAATCAAATTCAAAAGTTCTACTGACAGTAGTGTAAAATTATAAAATACTTAAGAATAAATTTTTAAACAGGCATGCAAGACTGCTACATTGAAAATTATGAAATATTGAGGCCCAATATTAAGATGTTGATTCTCCCCTAAATTATCTGGACTCGATACTATTCTCTGAGAAAATCCAACAGGCTTCACTGTAGAAATTAATAAACTAATAGTTAGTAAGTACAAAGTTGGTGGACACACACTACCTTATCTCAAGACTTCATGAAATTATAGCAATCAAGAGAAATATACCAAAAGAAAAACAGACAATTGATAGAATAGAGTCCAGAAATAGACCAATACATAGAAAGTTAATTGATTTTTTATGAAGATACGAAACTGGATTAATGGAAAAAGGAAACACCAGTGGTGCTGGCACAAATGGCTATCAAGATGTTAAATTTAAAAAAAAAAAGTAAATCTTGAAACCAAACTCACACCATGCCAAAAATTAATTTGAGATTAGTGACAGATTTAATGTAAAAATTAAAACTATGATGCCTCTAAAAGACAATGTAGAATATTTTCCTGATTTTGGGGTAAGCAAAGATCTCTTAGGTCAAAGAGATAAGGCAGTAACCATAAAAGAAAAAAAATAAACTAAGATTTATAAAAATTAAAAGCTTCTGACCATCCTGGCTAACATGGTGAAACCCTGTCACTACTAAAAACACAAAAAATTAGCTGGGCGTTGTGGCAGGTGCCTGTAGTCCCAGCCACTTGGGAGGCTGAGGCAGGAGAATGGCGTGAACCTGGGAGGTGGAGCTTGCAGTGAACCGAGATCGCGCCACTGCCCTCCAGCCTGGGCAACAGAGCGAGACTCCATCTCAAAAAAAAAAAAAAAAAAAAAAAAAAAAAAGGTGTCCATCCGAAAACCACCATTAAGAAACTCAGACTGGGAAAAACTCAGACTGAGAGAAAAGACTGATAACACCATCAACTCTTGGCAAGGATGTAACTGGAGAACTAATTCATTCTTGGTGGGAGAGTAAAATATCGCAACCACTTTAGAAAATTTTTGGCAGTTTCTTATATAGTTAAACATTCACCTATCCTTTGACACAGCAATTCCACATCTACATATCTACCCTAGATATTTACCCTAATTTTAGAATTGTTGATTTGCCATTTCAAAAACAATGATTCTTCCAGAATATTAGCTTTATACCATTCCATATTTTATATATTTTTTAAGCTACCATAATTTATGAAGATTCAAAATGCAACTTACCAAGTTTTAAAAGAGAAAAAAAAGTATGGAAACAGCTAAATGGAAAACAGGCTGGTTAAGTGTGTTTGGGTCAATTTATTTCCAGTATCATTTACAGGCTACCCTGATATTGTATTTAAAATTTTCATTCATTTCAGAGTTCACAAAATAATGATTTTTCCTGTGAAGATACTTCGTTTAAGAGACAACTGACTTCTACAACTAAAATGTATACATGTTCAAAGAAAATAACTTGTAAAATATATTTGGTTGAATAACATTTACATTAAGCCTTTAAAATTATGTATCAGAATCTCCGGCTATTAAGCAGTCTAATGGTGCCTACTAAGTCAGAGAGTTGTAATTCTTCTCTCCTGTGCTCTGTTCTGATAATGAAGTAAAGGCATCAGTAGCATCTACTGTGCTAAAGAATAAATGGAATTTGCAACTGTAGGTAATATTTAAGCACTTTAAGACAAATATGAATACATCATAAATTTCTAACTAGGAAAATATTTTCAATGAGATCTCAAGAAATGTTAACTTTTTTCAGAATAAAGCATTGAAAACTGACTCACCAACATATCAAGCTGGGTTTCTTCATCTTCTTCTCTTTTTCTTTTCTTATCTTTGTTCTTTTTCTTCTTACTACAGGACATAATTTATATAGATGAGTTTAGGTATATTGATTTGTGTGATAAATAAATATCATAAGATTGAAACTTGGAAGTCTTTTAAGCTGTTTCATTTATAAATTATTGATTTAGGAAGACTTACATTGCTATGCTCTCTTAAATACAGCGCTGAGAATTTGCTTCAGGCTTTGTACATATTATGTTAAAGTTCAAAGCAGATTGTAGAGCCACACTTCCAGATTTTAAATCCTGATTCTGTCACTTCTTAGCTCTGCAATTTTTGGAAAAAGTACTGAATCTCTCTGTGAGTCAGTTTCCCCACTTAAAAAGTTAGGATAATAACTTAACTCTTAAGGCTATTGTGAGGATTAAGAGGTAATATGTATCTTCACACATTGCTGGTGGAAATGTAAAATGGTGCAGCATCTACAGGAAACAGTTTGGCGTTCCTCAAAAAGTTAAAGAGTTACCATATGACCCAGCAATTTTACTCCTAAGTATGTATACCCAAGGGAAATGAAAACTTACTCCCACAAAAATACTTACATAAGAATATTCACACTAGCATTAGTCACAATAGTCAAAAAGGGGAAACAACCTAAATGTTCATCAACTGATGAATGGATGAACAAAATGTTACATCCATACAATGGAATACTACGCAGCCATAAAAAGGAACAAGTGCTACAACAATGATGGACCTCAAGAATGTTATAAGTGAAAGAAGCCAGATACAAAAGGCCACATGTTGCATGATTTCTTAGGAAATATTCAGAATAGGCAATTTCACATAGATAGCAGACTAGTGGTTGCCAAGGACTAGGAGAGGGGGAGGATGGGATGTGACTGCTCTAATGGGTAGGAAGAGATTTCCTTCTGAGATGACGAAAACACTGAGAAACTAGACAGTGGTGAACCTCTTGAATATATACTAAAAACCACTGTACAAAAGGGTGAATTTTATAATTATGAATGACATCGTAATAAAAAAATAAAAAACCAAGAGCGACTTGAAAAAAGTTAATGTGCAAAGTGCCTACAAATATTTCTTGGCACACTGAAAGTGCTATACAAGCATTAATTATGATTATTACGATAATCTTAAGACACTCTTGTCTGCATTATCATCATAAAGTTTTCAGAAGATAACTCACCACTCCTCACAGGAAATTCACAGAGTAAAAATCTCACATTCATTCAGGATATACCTGCCACTTATTCTGGCATCCTCATGAGCCCAGACTCCTCGAGAGGGTTCTCAAGGGCAGTGGCTTCAGCTCACTCCTTGATACTTTCTTTCCATCTCGCCTAAAAATATCAAAACCTCTGTTTATCACGGAGACCAGGAGGAAATGCTCAATATTTGTATGTACAGTCAACCTCGGGCAAATCTGCCAGTTAAAAAAGAAGCGGGGATATGAGTGCACAGGTATTTTTCTCCTAAAGAGCTAATAAATTACCACTACGACCTCCTCCTGACATTTGGCTCAATTTATTTACTGCATATATGTTCTCTCATTTAATCCTCACAGTATTCTAAAGGTATAAAAAATGGTCTGAAAGTATAAATGTGTAAACGGAGGTTCAAAGATATTTGATCTCTTAATGAGTAAATGGAAGTTCAGACATATTAATCAATTTGCCACAAATTACAAAATTAGTAAATGACAGAGTGCAGGTTCCAACCCATATCCCTATCAAAGCCCATATACACCTCAACCACTGTGTGATTCATCCTGATTTCACTCTACATATTAGCTTAGAAAAAATTAATCAATAACTTTTCCAGGAAGAGACAATGGAGAAAAGAATAATCCCTAATAAAGGAAGTTATCATCATGAGCTACAAGATCAGACTAACGCAGACTCACCAGGCAGAGGCCTGGAGAGATGCCTCAGGGGACCCAAACTCGTGGGTACGGGGCCACGGGTCACCCGCCCGTCTATCCTGTTTCCAGGGTCGTCCGCGCGGGAGGCTGCCCCTCTCTGCACAGGCGCCAGGAACCGCTATCTGGCCTCCATCCAGCCCGGACAGGCGCCAGGGCGAAGCCTGGGATGCCACAAAGCCAGCTCTCCGCGGCACGACTTCCACCGGATTCGCGGGGGTGGAGTGCGTCCGAAAAGAACTGAGAAGGCTCCCGCCAGAGCTGCAGGACCCACCTCTTCGCCTTGGTTCCCTTGAACACGAGCTTGGTAGTCTTCACATAGGAGTACTCGACTCTCAGAAGTCGGCTCCGGGAGACTTCTGCGCGGAGAGGCTGAAGCCGGCTCAGGACGAGTATGTGACCCGGAGCAGCACCAGGGCGGGGAGGAACAGAAGTGGAGGCAAAGTAAACATTCCCTGACTGGGTACGTCTGTCCAGAACCCGCCTTCATCTTGACCCAAACGCTGAATGGCTGAGATTTCCACTTCCGAGTTTCTGCTGGGGAGCTACGGCGGCCTCAGAGGGCCGAAAGGTGCCGCAGGCAGCTGCTCCCTGGCTCCCTCTCGAGGAGCCCCTGAGGATTCGTGCCTCCCCGAGGGGAGTAAAGTCCGCCCGAGGCGCCGGTACTGGCGGTGGCGGGGCTGCCGGGCGCGCTGTGAAACGGCCTACCGCTAGAGCTGCGGGCTGGCGACGGTCCCCGCGGGGGCGGGAAGCGGCTTAGGCTGCCTTCGTTGGCCTGCGGCGGCGCGGCTGGAAGCGCGGGCCACTCGTGCGCGGGTCACTCGGGGCTGTGCCTCGTGCGACTGTGTGTGTAGGCAACAAGCAGGAAATACCCTAAAATAGAATGAAGCACCATGTTGAGGGCCGCGGACGTCGCGAGTGCTGTGGGAATGTGGGCTGAGGTGGAGAGTTATGGTGGCGCGTGTTACAAGCTCAGGGGTCAGGAAGAAGGCTAATCGTGGAGGCGGCATCTGTGGAGGGTCTTGAACGCTGGGCAGGCTTTTGCCCGATAGAGATAGAGGAAGCTAGTCCTGTCTGATGGAGGAAACAGGGCGGAGGCGTGGAGGGAGCCGCAAGCAGGCCAGGCCTGTAAAGCAGAGTGATGGGAACCAGGATAGAGAAGGCAAGTCGGGGTCCTGTTTTCGCTGAAGAATTTGAATGAAATCAGTAAACAGGTGAGAGGGATCCATCGCAAGAGCATGGGATGAAACGAGGAGTAGTCCACGGTGATTCCTCTGCAGCGGTGGGTATTATTCATCGCGTATGTGACACCAAAACGGTGGGTATTATTGATCGCGTATGTGACACCAAAACCACCCCACTCCACTCAAGCTGTGGCTCTTTCCCTAAAGTAGAAAACAGAGACCAGTTGGGTTCCAAGCATCCACGAAGATCTTATTAAATTCGTGATCCCTGGTGGTACCATGGAGTCAGGATTGGCTCATCTCAAACCTGACTCAGAAACAAAACCATCTCAATGTGCAGAGATGAGCGGCCTTACCCGCTATCATAACATATTTACTGGTGTTATCACAGTGCTGCACTTCCTAATCCCCATTCCAGGGCAATCCACATGCCATGATGTCCAGAGGCATTAACAAAGGAGACACACAGGGGCTCCTCACGTTTGCTTTCCGCGGTTTTGATGAAAATCTCAGTTTCCTCACCTCATACAATGTGGTTAGTAATAGTACCATTTAGGGTGGAAGAATTAAATGGTAAGAATTATATAGGGTGCTTATTATAACCTACATGGAAAATGCCTAGGATATGTTAGCTATGCTCATCACCAACATCGTTATATGATGGTAATAATCAGATAGTCAGGAAGGCCGACACCAAGAAAATGGATACTTGCTCTGAGGGAATGAATATGGAGAGATCAGAAGGTCAAGAACAAAGCCGTACAACATGTCTGCAGTAAAGGGATAGAGAAAAGAAAGGCTATAAAAGAAGGAGTGAAACAGAGTTAGAGTAAAAGTATAAAATCAAAGCTAAGGAGAATTTCTAGAAAGGGTAATATCATTTAATATCATAGAAGTTTAGGAGCACAAGATGGAAAAAAGGCCGGTGGGTAACTGACATTGAGGCAGTCTTTAGGGAAGCTCCATTTCCGATAGAGAAGTAGACAGAAAGTCAGCTTGAAGCAGGGACTAGGTGAAGAAGCTGTTGGCTGGTCGCATGGGGAAATAAATAAGGGATGGCTTATGCCATATTTCTGGATTTCTTTCTTTCTTGCGCAGCCTCTATATATGCATAGAGTTTGGCAAAAACTTACAAAAAATAAAAATGAAACCAATTTCATTTGTAGACTCAAATACAATGCTTTGTGTTAGAATCAAGATAAATTCATGTCTCTCCCTTCTATTGTCACAGTCAGTTTTGAAATTAAACATCAGCTTTTCTTCCTCATTAAAATCATTTTCAACTCCTCCCAGGTGTTGATGGTTTGGGGGAGTTACATAAACAGTCAGGTCTTGATGAGTAGAGGAGGAGGGAACAAACACTTTCAGCAAGGGCAGAATTCTGAAATTCTGCTCATATTTTTCTCCAGTAACTTTCCTATGTTTGTGAGGTTATTCAGTCATAAAGATCCTAGTGACATTTTTTTCAAGCTTGACTAATCGTAATCACTGTGGACGTTTGTTTAAAATGTGTATTCCCAGGCCTCTCACCTGCTGATTCTGATTCAGAAGATCACGGATGGGACTCAGAATACATGTGTTTGACAAGTACCACAAGTGGTTCTTATGGTCAGGCAAATTTTGGAATCTAACCAGGAATTTATGTTTTTATGACTGGCAGCTAGAAAAGATTCCTAGAGTCTTTGCTTTTTGAAAATAAAATATTCCTTCTTTAAAAGGAAAATTGTATGACTAGATACAACATTTATACGTGTGGCACATGTACTATATGGTGTGCTTTTGTCATATTTACAGTTAAAGATGTGTAAGAACACTCTGCAAAAAATTATATATTAAATGCAAAGAGGGGTAAGTCAGGGTGGGGGAGAAATGGGAAGGGTGTGCTTATTGTTGCTAAAAGGTAGAAAAGCCAGAATGATAGCCATCTAAGGTTGCAAATAGCACATTATAAGTTGAGGGAGCTTCATAATCATGTCTGAAACCTTCTTTGATATACTGAGTTGTTAACAGTGGCTTTGGACAAGATTTGAGGGAGAAACCAACTATGCTTTAAAGTGTTCATTTAAAAGGCTTTAATTAAAGGAAAGTCTTTGTATTTACTTGAGCTAATTTAACTTCAGGACTTTAATAAATTACTAGCCCTTAACCTCTTAAAAATTGTCTTTCATTTCAAATGAAAGTTTAAGATGGCCTTTATGTTCGATTGGTATACTTGTGTGAAGACTTAACAGCAAGGTACTATACATTTCTAAATGTTTACTTCTTAATTTTGCTGGAAGAAATATACTACTCAATTGATTATTTTTAAAGCAAAGTAAAACAATTTATTTTGACAAGCAACACTGTATTCTCCCAGTTTTCTGGTGGCAATGATTAGGCTTAACATCACTAATCATGAGAGAAATGCAAATCAAAACCAAAACGAGATACTATCCTACACCAGTCAGAATAGCTACTATTAAAAAATCAAAAAACAACAGATCTTGGGACGCTGTGGAGAAAAGGGAACATTAATACATAATTGGTGTGAATGTAAATTAGTTCAGCCACTGTTGAAAGCAGTTTGGAAATTTCTCAAAGAATTTAAAATAGAATTACCTTTCAAGCCAACAATTGCATTACTGGTATATGACCCAAAGAAAGTCAGTTATTCTACCAAAAAGACATATGCACTTGCATGTTCATCACAGCACTATTCACAATAGCAAAGACATGGAGTCAGCCTAGGTGTCCATCAACAGTGGATTGGATCAATAAAATGTGGTACATCCACACAGTATTATTAGGCCATTCTTGCATTGCTATGAAGAAAGACCTGAGACTGGGTAATTTATAAGAAAAGAGATTTAATTGGCTCATAGCTCTGCAGGCTGTACAGGAAGCATGGTGACGGCATCTGCATGGAGCTTATGGAGTCTCCAGGGAGCTTTTACTCATGATGGAAGGCAAAGAGGGAGTAGGCACATCACATGGCCAGAGCAGGAGCAAGAGAGAATGGGAGTGGGGTTAAGTACCACACACCCTTACAAAACCAGATCTTGAAAGAATTCGCTATCACAAGGATGGTATCAGGCCATGAGAGATCCAACCCCATGACCCAAACACCTCCTACCAGGCCCCACCTCCAACACTGAGGATTACATTTCACCATCAGATTTATAGGGGCCACCTTCCAAACCATTTCACACACCATGGAATACTACGCAGCCATAAAAATAACAAAATCATGTCCTTTGAAGCAACATGGATGTAGCTGAAGGCCATTATCCTAAGTAAATTAATGCAGGAATACAAATCGAAATACCACATGATCTCACTTATAAGTGGGAGCTAAACACTGGGTACTTACGGACATAAAAATGGAAAGAATAAACATCGGGACTACTAGAGGGGAGAAGGAGGAAGGCATGGTTTGATGAACTAACTATTGGGTACTATGCTCATGTATTAATCTGTTCTCACACTGTTGTATAGAACTACCCGAGACTGGGTAATTTATAAAGAAAAGAGGTTTAACTGACTCACAGTTCCACAGGCTGTACAGGAAGCATGGCTGGGAGGCTTCAGGAAACTTATAATCATGGCAGAAGGTGAAGGGGGAAGCAAGGCACATTCTACCATGGCGGCAGGAGACCAAGTGAGCCAGGGGGGATGTTCCATATGTTTAAACCATCAGATCTCATGAGAACTCACTTACCATCTAAGAACAGCAAGGGGAAAATCTGCCCTCATGAGCTAATCACCTCCCACCAGGTCATTCCCCCTGCATTGGGAATTACAATTCAACATGAGATTTGGGTGGGGACACAGAGTCAAAACATACCAAACCAGCATCTGGATGATGGAGTCATTCATACCCCAAAAGTCAGCATTATGAGATACACCCATGTAACAAACTGGCACATATACCCCTGAATGTAAAATACAAGTTAAAATTATCTTCAAAATAAATTAACTAATGAATAAATAAATATGATTAAATGAAATTAAAATTTTGAATTAAAAAAATTTTGAGAGTGATTTCAGCTTGACAGTTATGTAAGTTATGTAAATGGGAACAGTGAGTTCTGTAGGGTTCAGATCAATTGCACTATCTGTACTAAGTTGATGTCCAGTTGTTTGGATGAAAAGAAAAGAGGAGAAACATATAGATCTAACAGGAAAAAAGTGGACAAGTTTTTATGATAGCAAAAAGAAGAATGGAGGAAATAGGAATGAGGTTATAGTGATTGATAGATATTAATAGACGACTAATTCAAAAGCCACCGGTTGCAGAAAATATTGATTAATTTTGTTTTATTCCAGTCAGACATCAAAATCCTATAACCTGCCTCTAGAGAAAACCCTTTTAGCCCTGTAATTATCTTTATTCCAAGCACCATTCCATTCATTAAGTAGTGTATAGGGTGATTAATAAGTGAATTATTCACAGAATTAGGACAGAATTTTTGAGTATTTCAGGATATTAATCTATAGTCAATGAACTAAAATAAAATTTGACTAGAGGTGTGATCACCATGAATGCCATGTTGGTATCTTGTTAGATTTGGCAACCCAAAGTTGACAAATTTATTAATAAAATAAGCGTTCCTTGATGATTAATTTACATTTAGTAAACATGCTCTTTCTTCTTCCTTCCCTTTCTTATTCATTCATTCATTCCTACAGAGCAGTGACTTTCATTCTAAGATTCCCAGAATCCTAAGGAATTCTTGAATGTCATCATAGGGAGCCAGGTGTGAGGATTCCCAAAAGTTGTACTTAATACTTGAAAAATCTCAAAAAAGTTATATATTTACACCAGAAAAAGCTATACAGGTTTTAAGTTATATATATATAGTTAAATACTTTTTATTTCTATCCAGAACTAACTCATTAGAGTTAATAATGTTGATTATTTCATACTGACCTAGTGGGTATCCTTTATATATCATTGATTACTTATTAGTAAAATAAGAACCCCCCCAAAATTACAAAATAAATATATTTTGTGGGTTTTTCTTAAGGCTTTTGAAACATAAAATCAGAGGAGAGGATTAAAATTAATCCTTGATTGTTAAAAAGACAGGGAACTACTAACTTAGAAAATTGTATGAAAACAGGAAGATATATACATGGCCCTCAGACCAGCTGCCTGTTTTAATAAAGTTTTGTTGGAGCACATCCATGGATCTGTGGTGCTTTCCTGCTACAATGGTATAGTTGAATGGTTGCTATAGAGACCGTATGGTTTGCAAAGCCTAAAATATTTATCATCTGGTCCTTTATAGCAAAAGTGAACCCAGTTTTAGAACATTCACTTCACAAATTAAGATACAGTGGATGCTGCCTTAACTGACTTCCACTTAACTGATTTGCAATCAGCACTTTCTGCTACCCCTGTACAACTTATTGACTGATGTCCACTGCAAACTGAAAACCTTTGAGCTACTTTTAATGCCTGTACATTTCTCCTTCCATCACAGAAATTGTATAGTTTCTAAGAGGAAGTTGTGTTCATTCCTAAATATGTTTACACCATTTGTTCTTGTTCTTGTAGTTATGTGATTTAATTAGATATTATGTTGAGAGGCTGAGACGGGTGGATCACTAGGTCAGGAGATCGAGACCATCCTGGCTAACTCGGTGAAACCCTGTCTCTACTGAAAATACAAAAAAATTAGCTGTGTGTTGTGGCAGGTGTCTGTACTCCCAGCTACTGGGGAGGCTGAGGCGGGAGAATGGCATGAACCCGGGAGGTGGAGCTTGCAGTGAGCAGAGATCGCACCACTGCACTCCAGCCTGGGTGACAGAGCGAGACTCCATCTCAAAATAAATAAATAAATAAATAAATAAATAAATAAATAAATAAATATTATGTAAACTGAGAAAATGAGTATAACAACAGTAGTATTGTTGTTTCTTTGAGAAATAAACTAAATGTGTTGGAAAAATGAGAAACTCAAACAGCTGCTCTCAGCTTAACTGTTCTTGGCAAGACAACTAGAAACAAATGGGAAAAATTGTGTAATCTAGGATTTCAGATTGCTTTACCCCAGTTGTCTTCACAGAAAGTGAACAAGAAATCAATGACAACATATCATTGGCGTAGTTTCCACAAGAAACTCCACTCTGAATCCGTGCAAAGCTTTGACCTTGTCATCAAAATTCTGGCAAATTTATTTACACATGTCTTTTAAATTAAAGTTAAGTTTTAAGGACTTACATCTAATACTTCTTATGATTCCTCCATCTAACTTAAATTTGTGATTAATCTGTTTATTACTGGTCCCAATCTGATTGAATAAGGGGCTTTCTACCCTTTTTGCTAACCAAAAGTTTACTTTGATGAAGATGGAATCATAAATACAATAATTCAAGTTTAAAGAATTAGAATGGTAATGGTTAATACAATTTAGTATGCCTAAAAATCATTTGTAAAGCCTACTAACAATGCAAATTCTTCTGCCTTAGGCCTGAGATTTTGATTCAATAGGTCAAGCATGGGGCATAGGAATCTGTATTTTTAGGAATGATAAAGGAAAATTGCTTAAAATAGGGTAAATTATAACTTACAAATATAAAATGAACACTTGTCTAAGATTTTTGTTTAACTCATTTATTTAATTAGGGAGCCAGTAAGATGTTATACTGAGCTTTATGGAAAATTAAAAGAGCCACACATATCTAGGCACTAAGGAACACTGAAATAAATCTGCTTGATAGGTTCAAAACTGACTTCTTGATGGAAGGTGGAAAAAGGAAAATTAATTATACTTCCACCAAAATCAATCATTTGCCTGTCTATAGTCAAGAATATTTGCATTACTATCAGTAATCTACAACTAACAGAATTGCAAATAACAAGGAAAACAAAAGACACAGAGACCCTATAGAAACAGATAACCCAGGTTATTCTAGACAAGGCTGAGGTTTCCATTAAAGACACTCAGTGGTAATTTCGTTGGTCCATCTTAAAATCTCTCCATTTTCTCCTGAAACAAATTGCTCAAGCAATTCAAATACAATGAATGTGGTCAGTGGGTCGCACCTGGAGAAATCATTTTCTAACCTATAATCAAGACTGTTGAATTACTCCCTTCACTGGAAAGAATAAAATATTACCTCATAGATTCATATTATGATAATGGTCCACTATGAATGCTTTGGTGTTCTTAATTTTCTTAAGATTTATTAATATTTCTGAAGTAACTACTGAATGCCAAGCAATATATTTTCTAATTTAATCTTTCATTGACTTTTACTTTCACTTCAATTGAGCTACTCACTTTCATGGCTATAAACTTAACTTTTCAATAACTTAAAAATTGATTTCTAATGTTATAAACTTTTATGTTCCACTCTGTGACATGCTCTTTCAGACTCTCTCTTCCTTACTGCCAATTCACCTTCTCTTCTATCTCTTCCAGTGCCCCAGTATCTTGACTCTTCCATTTTCTTTTTTCTTTTCTTTTATTAAGTGGTTACATGATAATTTCACATGTTGATGGGGTACAATGTGGTATTTTGATATCTGACACATTGTTAAAACCTCTCCTCCCTATCTTTCCCAGTCTGGTAACCACTCTTCCACTCTCTATTAGATCAGTGTTTTTAGATTTCACATATGAATGAGATCATGTGATATTTGTCTTACCGTGGTTAGCTTATTTCATTTACCACAATGTCCTCTATGATCATTCATGTTGTCACAAGTGACACGATTTTATCCTTTTTTATGGCCAAATGTGCATATGATATAGTTTGGATATTTGTCCTGACCCATATCTCATGTTATATTGTAATCCCCACTGTTAGAGATGGGGCCTGGTAGGGGGTGTTTAGGTCATGGAGGTGGATCCCTCATGACTTGGTGCTATCCTCATGATAGTGAATGAGTTCTCAAGCTTCCTGACTAGTCAAGCATATGTTGACACTATGCTCCCTGTGCAGCCCATGGAACCAGGAACCAATTATGTCTCTTTTCTTTTAAATTATCCAATCTCAGGTATTTCTTTACAGCAATGCAAGAATGGCCAAATACAGCATATATGCCACATTTTCTTTATCGATTCATTCATTGTTGGACACTTAGGTTGATTCTTGGCTATTGTGAATAGTGCTGTAATAAACATGAGAGTCCAGAAATCTCTTTGACATACTGATTTAATATTCTTTGAATATATACCCAGTAGTGGGATTGCTGGATTATGTGATGTCTATTTTTAATGTTTTTGGAAGTTATATTGTTTTCCGTAGAAATTGCTCTAATTTACATTTCCACCAACAGTGTATGAACATTCTCCTTTCTTCACATCCTTGCCAGCGTTTGTTATTTTTTGACTTTTTCATAAAAAGCATTCTAAGCAGGGTGAGATGATATCTCACTGTGGATTTGACTTGCGTTTCTCTGATTATTAGTGATGGTGAGTATTTTTTCATATACCTGTTGGTGATTTTTTTGTCTTATTTGGAAAAATGTCTATTCAACTCTCTTGACTATTTTCTAATCCAATTATTTGTGTTTTTGCTATTGAGTTGTTTGAGTTTTCTATAAATTTGGGATATTAACCCCTTATCAAGTGAATAGTTTGCAGATATTTTCTCCCATTTTGTAGGTTGTCTCTTCACTCTTGTGATTGTTTCCTATGCAGTGCAGAAGTTTTTATTTAGAGTAATCCCATTTGTTTATTTTTGGTTTTGTTGTGCATGTCTTTTGATGTGTTTCTAAAAAGTCCTTGCCCAGACCAATGACATATAACATTTCATTTAAGTATTCTTCTACTAGTTTCATAGTTTGGGGTCTTACATTTAAACATTTAATTTATTTTGAGTTGATTTTTGTATATTATGAGAGATAAGGGTCTACTTTCATTCTTTTGTATGGGGATATGAACTTTTCCAAGCATCATTTGTTGAAAAGACTGTCTTTCCCCCATTGAATGTTTGCACCTTTGTCAAAAATAAGTTGCATGTAAATGTGTGGATTTATGCCTGGGCTCTCTATTTTTGTTCCACTGGTCTACATGCCTGTTTTTATGCCAATACCATGCTGTTTTAGTTAGGATAGCTTTGTAATATATTTTGAAATTAGATAGTGTAATACCTCTAGCATTGCTCTTTTTGCTTAAGATTTATTTGGCTATTTGGGGTGTTTTGTAGTTTCACATGGGTTTTAAGATTTTTTTTAATATCTGTGAAGAATGAAATTGGAAATTTGATAGAGATTATATTGTATTTGTAGATTGATTCGAGTAGTATAGTCATTTCAACAATATTAATTCTTCTAGTCCATGAACATGGGATATCTTTCTATTTATTTTAATTTTTTTAATTGTTTTTATCAATATTTAATAATTTTCATCTTTCCATGGCTTAACTTACTTGTAGGTATTTTGTTTCTTTAATAGCTATTTTAAATGGGATTACTTTCTTGATCCCTTTTTCAGATAGTGTGCTATTGGTGTATAGAGATGTTACTGATTTTTTATGTTGCTTTTGTATCCTGAAACCTTATTATATTCATTTATTATTTCTGATTCTCAGTGGTGTATTTAGGGTTTTTTACATATATGATCATGTCATCTGCAAAGAGGGACAATCTGACTTTTTTTTTCCAATTTGGATGCCTTTTATTTCTTTCTCTTACCTAATTGTTCTGACTAGGACTTCTAGTACTATGTTGAAAAAAGTGATTAAAGTGAACATCCTTGTCTTGTTCCAGATCCTAGAGACAAAACTTTCAAGTTTTCACCATTCAGTGTAATGTTGCCTGTGGGTTATCACATATGATCTTTATTTTATTATGTTCTTTTATAACTAATTTGTTAAAAGGTTTGATCATAAAATGATGTCTAATTTTGTCAAATGCTTTTCTGCATCTATTGAAATGATTATATGTTTTTTATCCTTCATTGTTTAATGTGATGTATCAGATTTTATTGATTTACATGTATTAGACTATCCTTACCTCTCCATGTAAATACCACTTGATTATGGTGAAAAATCTTTTAAATGTGCTTTTGAATTATCATTGCTAGAACTGCTGGTTTTGAATGTTTGCATCTATGTTTATCAATGATATAGGCCTGGAGTTTTCTTTTATTTGCTGTTCTTGTCTCATTTTGGAATCAGGAAATGCTGTCTTCATAGAATGAGTTTGGAAGAGTTCCCTCCTTTTCATTTTTTTGAAATAGTTTGTAAAACATTTGTATAAGTTTTTTAAATGTTTTGTAGAATTTGTCAGCGAAAACCACCAAGTCGTGAACTTTTCTTTCTTCCTCTATTTTTTTAGAGACAGAGTCTCACTCTATCACTGAGGCTGGCATACAGTGGTGCAGTCATAGCTGACTGCAGCCTCAAACGCCTGGTCTTAAGTGATCCTCCTGCCTCAGTCTCCTGAGTACAAGTACACACCACTATACCTGGGGAATTTTTATTTTTATTTTTAGAGATGGAGTGTCATTGTGTTGCCCAGGCTAATCTTGAACTCCTGGCCTCTAGTGATTTTCCTGCCTTGGGCTCCTAAACTGTGAGATTACAGTTGTGAGCTACTGTGTGAAGTGAATTTTCCTTGACTGAGAGCCTAAATCTCTCCTTCAGTCTCATTATTTGTCATTGGTGTGTTCACATTTTCTATTTCTTCTTTCTTCAATTTTGATAGGTTATATGTGTCCAGAGCATACGTTTTTCTTCTAAGTTTTTCAATTTATTGGCATATAATTGTTTGTAGTACTTACTCATGATTCCTTATATTTCTCTAGAGTCTATCATAGTATATCCTTTTTCATCTCTGATTTTATGTGAATTTTCTCTTTTTTTCTTAGTCTGACAAAACATTTGTCAATTTTACCTTTTCAAAAAAGATTCCTTCATTTAATTAGTCGTTTGTAATTTTTGTCTTCATTTTGTATATTTGTGCTCTGATCTTTATATTCTTTTGCTAATTTGGGTCTTAGTTTGTTCTTGATTTTATCGTTCCTTGAAATACATTGTTAGATGGTTTATTCATTATCTTTCTTCTTTATTGATGTAGAAATGTATTGCTGTAAACGTCCCTCTAAGGACCATTTTGCTGTATTTCATAAGTTTTCATATGTTCTGATTTCATTTTTACTCGTTTTAAGACATTTTTAAAATTAATTTTTTTTCATTGACCCATTGGTTGTTTAAGGATATGTTGTTTTATTTGTATGTATTTGCACAATTTCTGAAGTTCCTCCTGTTGTTTATTTCTAGCTTTATTCCATATGGTCAAAAAACACGTGATGTGATTTGATTTTTTGATTAGCTAAGACTTGTTTTGTGGTCTAACATATCTATCATGGACAATATTCCATATGCAGGTGAAAAGACACTGAATTATGCAATTGTTGGATGAAATGTTATGTAAATAACTGTTAAATTCTTTTGATCTAGAGTGCAATTTAAATGTTTCTTTGTTGAGATTCTCTCTCAATGATCTGTTCATTGCTGAAAATGGGATGTCGAGGTTTCATACTATTATTATACAGTTTTTTGTCTCTCCTTTTAGATCTATTAATATTTGCTTTACATATTTAGGTTCTCCAATGTTGAGTGCATTATATATTTACAATTATTGTATTCTCTTGTTGTACTGACCCCTTTATTATTATATAATGGCCTTGTTTGTCTGTGTTTACATTTTTTCTACTTGAAGTCTATTTTATTTGATATAAATATAACTACTTCTGCATTCTTCTGATTTCCATTGTCATAAAATATATTTTTCCATCTGATCACTTTCAATTTATGTGTGTTTTTACAGGAGATGGGAGTCTCTTGTAGAAAGAATATAGTTAGGTAGTGCTTTTAATCCATTTACCCATTCTCTGTCTTCTTACTGGATAATTTAATCTATTTACATTCAAGGTAATTATTCATAGATAAGGACTTGTACTGCCATATACTCTTTTCTTGTAGTCTTTTAGAATTTTTGTACCTTTTTGTCCCTCTGTTGTCTTCCTTTGTAGTTAAGTGATTTTCTCTGTGTGTTTTTGTTTCTTGTTCTTTTATTTTTAGTGTATCTAATAAAAATGTTTGCTTTTTGTTTACTATGAAGCATGCAAAGAATATTTTATAGTTTCAATAGGTAATTTTGAATGGATAACAACTTAATTTTGATAATAAGAAATGGAGAAGGGCAATCAATCTGCTCTTTAACTCAATCACTCCCCCATATTTTGCATTTTTGATGTCTTAATTTACATCTTTTATATCACTTATCCCTTAACAAATTATTGTAGTTGTTATTATTTTTGTTTTGTATTTTAACCTTCTTACTAAAAACATGTAAGTGGTTTATATTCAATTATTACTATACTAGAGCATCCTGAATTTGTCTGAATATTTATTTTTACCTGTGGATTTGTACCTTCCAATTTTTTGTATTACATATTCGTGCCCTTTTCTTTCAGTTTGAAGATTCTTCTTTAACATTTCTTTTAAGGCAGGTATGGTTACAATGAATTTCTTCATCTTTTGTTTGTCTTAGAATGTTTTAACCTCTCCTTCATTTCTAAATGAGAGCTGTGCTGGATACTGTATTCATTGTTGACAGTTTTTTTCTTCAGCACTTGATTCTATTATCCTACTCTCTCCTGGTCCATATTGTTTCTGCTGAGAAGTCTGCTGCCAGGCACATTGGAATTCTCTTATGTGTTATATGCTTCCTTTTTCTTAGTGCTTTCAGGACCTACTCTTTGTTTTTGACGTTTGAAAGTTTAATTATAATATGTCTTTTGGTTGTCTTATTCAGATTAAATCAAATTAGTGAGCTTTGGCCATCCTAAACATCTTAATCCTTCTCCAAGTTTAAAAAGTTGTCTGTTATTTCTCTGAATAAGCTTCTAACTCTTTTTCATTCTTAGTCACACTTTAACACTGTAGATTTTTTTTCTTGATGGTGTCCCATGGATCTCGTAAGTTTTCTTTGTTTCTTCTCATTTTTTTTCTCTTTTCTACTCTGACAGTGTATTTTCAAAGAGCCTGTCTTTGAGCTCACTGCTGTTTTTCTTCTACTTGATCAGTTCTACTCTTGATGCCCTCTAGTGCATTTTTCAGCTTATTTACTGAACTTTCCACCTCCAGGATTTCCATTTGATTTCTTCCCATTATTTTAAGTTCTTTGTTGAATTTCTCATAAATTTCCATATTGTTTCTTTGGGCTTTGTTGAAGTGCACAGATTTTTTTTTTAAAAAAAACAGCTATTTGAATTTTTTGTCTGCCACATCATTCATTTGCATGTCTTTAGGTTCAGTTGCTGACACCTTGTTTTCTCCATTTGGTGAGGCAGTTTTTCCAAGGCTATTCTTAATTTTTGTAGATGTACATCTCTGTCTACACATTGATGAATTAAATATTTATTTCAATCTTCTCAGTCTGGGTTTGTTTTTGACTGTTTCTCAGTGGGCTTGTTTAGAAATTCTGTGTGGGTTTCCATTATATTCCATTTTAGCATTAGGAGGTGCCCAAAGCAAAGGTTAGACATAAGTCTTGCAATGGGGCTTCACCATTGATGCAATGTAACTGGATGGGCCTGTGGGTGATCCACAGAAAGACTGCTGTCTGTAGGGGGAGAACAAGTCAGGCCATCAAATCTGGACAGTCTGTGTATCATGTTTCCCACAGCGTGGTGCCCATAAACAACCTGCCTGGTATAATGTTTCCTCTGGTAGGAATGGCTAGCCACTGCTAAGTTTCATATAGTAAGTATTGCTAACCCAATCCCTTCTTTATGTCCCTAGCATGCCTCTGGTGGTTCAGCTCTGTTGACACTCATGGTGCTGCTTGTGGGCTGATGCAGGAGTGAGTCTACTGTGAAGGCACTCAGTATGGTGGAAAAATATTCAACTTCTGCTCACTTTATTCAGTGTAAGAACTGTGAGTTCAGGAGGACTTTCTGCATATAATACCATTATGGCCTGGGGGAGGAGTATCGCAGTCAAAGAGTACTGTTTCTCTTACTGTCCAAGCATGGTTTTACTCCTCTTTGCAGTCCAAAGGGGCTTCATAGACTCACTCACGTATTCAGGATTCCTTAGCTCTTGTAAAGTTAATTTCATATGTGGATAGTTGTTCATATAGATGTGTCTGTAGTGGTATGATTACTAGAGAGATCTACTCCACTACCTTGCTCTGCCCAAACCCTTCCCCTTTCCAACAAGAGTTTGCCACCTCCTAGTTTTCTTTTTTCTTAACCAAACTAAGTTTAGCCTTTTAATCCTTCACCCTCTTCCACTTCTAATGCCATTGCTTCTTTGTATGCTTATTGTATTTTCCATGCTATGTGACTTTCAGCTGGTTATTTACAGTATGTAAGTTTTAATAGCTTGTAAAATGGGGATAATAATAGCATCCATTTGATAGGGATGTTAAAGATATTAAATGACACTGTCCATGTTAAATAACTTCTTGAGATATATTGAGATGTTTCTGTACTTCCTTGTTCTGGCCTTCTTGTTGAACCAGAGGAATCTATTGCCATGAAAAGCAATAAAACTGTGATAGTAGAAATTAAAAGTGAGTAGGAACTTATTTAAAAATCATCATTCTCCTTTTCAATGCAAAAATAAGAACTAGAAACTTTTAATAAGGCAATAGTCTGGAGAAATAATTTATGGAAGATAACATGGATTTTTTAATCTTAAAGGGTTCTTTTACATATTCAAGGGTCGAGGTTGGCTGCCTTGAATCCTACTAAAATTTCAATGTAAGTTTTAGAGAGGGAGGAAAGAGTCAAAGGAAAAATTGCACTGGAAAAAGTTAAATAAGTAAGGAAGATATTATTCAAGCTATTGCAATACGGGAGAGAGGCCAGACCTAGTCTGAACTCAGCTCCTCTGATACAAAGGGCCGTGGAGTTTTTGAAAGTGAGGGTAAGGGGGCGATCATAGGCCACCTGTCTTTGCTAACTGTCTTTTCTCAAAGGAAAATTAAACTTTCTTTTATCTTTATGATATAAGGTAATTTTTACAACTTGGAGCAAGATTAGGCTCTTACTCTCTCATGGAGACTGGGAAATAAGGTATTATCTTTCTGGAGGATTACATTTGAAAGGGATGGCTCCCAGATCCTTGAAAAAGGAAATTTTCTGCTTACAAGTTACACATGCCACTTCTACCTGCATTTCAGTGGCCAAACAGGTCACATATCTAAATCTGACCCTTTCTTCAATAGGACAGAAATGTATAATCTTCTAGGAGATAGGGTCACTGCAGTAGGAAGACCAGATAATGGGAGAATGATAATATAATCTACCACAATGACCACAGTGAAAACATTAGTAATCCTCAGGGTTAACCAAGTCTTCTTGGACACTTAGGTTGATTCTAGGCTATTGTCAATAGTGGAATAGTAAAAAATAAAGAGAATAGCCCATTTATTTTTTGCAGAGAAGCTAGACAATTCACAGTAACTTATGGCCTAGACAATTTTGTTTCTTGATCAACACAACCCTTTATAGATGCCTGTGGTCCAAAAATGTGGATTCCTAATCGTCCCCAAAATAAAGGGATCCTCTACAAGGCAACCTGGGAGGGAGTTTAGGATTGTTCTGAGGCAGTGAAAGCCATTGAGATTCACATGTAAGAGGGTAGAGAAAGGGAATCCACATGTTTTGATCCCTCCATGTGCTGGATATAACTTGGTCTTCATTATATTGCACCACCTTTGGTGTCAGAGAGAACTGGATTTGAATCCCAGTTCCATCACTCATTATGATTTGATGGTGAATGTGTTTTTAACTCATCTGAGACTCAGTTTGCTCATCTATAAAAGATGGGATTGTTATGAGACTTGCATAAGGTAAGTGTTTAAAAATCTGGGAATAATCCCTGTAATTTAAAAGACAGGGTTGTGATAAGGCTTCAATAAGGTAAGTGTGTAAAATCTGGACACAATGTTACTAATTTTGATGGTTTTCAATATATAGAGAAGGAGGATTATTTTTCTCTCATTTAATTTTTAGAACAAGTTTATAAAATTGGCATTATTCATATTTTTGAGATAATCAAAGGATCACTAAGTTTAAATAAATCACCATAGTCACAAAGCAGTTCACAATATATTGACCGGACAATTGCTAGTGAAAAGTAGCAATGATGATCACATTGAAAATCTTGTGTTAGGTGGTGGTTTTCTCTTGCATAAGCCTCTTCATTTGTTGAAACCATAGATTCTAAGTTTGCTCTATCAAAGTGATCATTAGAAAAATATAATATACTTAGTGTATAAATTTTAGAAAATTTCCTTTTTAGTCCTGTTAATTTGATTGAATATGTGCATTTTGAATTATGATTATAAATATGAATATGTATGGCATATGAAATATGACTTGACATCACAGAGTAACCTTAGATCATGGCAATGTTTTTTTCTGAAAGCACCTGCAGAAATGTATCTTCTTTCTAGTTTCTAAAAAACTCAGAGGCCATAGGGGAAGAGGGGACTTTGGCTGTCAGATAGTGCATGAGGTACATTAGGATATAGTAATTGCATCATAATTCATATTCATAATTCACAGTGAGGAAACCTGAAATTTGCTTCCAGCTACCAATAAATGAAAGGTGGGGCGGGGTCGCTGGGGGGCGCGGCTTTGTGAGCCAGTGCCTGGACTCACACGTCACAAATGGAAGGGCAGCGCGTGGAGGGAACTCAAGGCCTGATTGGTTTTTCCTAAGCAGGACACGATCAGGTTGGCAGGGCAACCGGCCTTCAGTTGGTGGCCTTCAGTGGGTGCCTTAAGTTGGTGGCATTTGGTTGCCTTTCCTGGGGAGAGGCAGCAGGTGCTCAGCTCTGCAGACGTAGGGGCAAGCGGAGGCCCAAGCTGCCTCGAGAAGAGCAGAGGTGCCCCATGGGGACCACGATGACCAGTTGCATGTGCACCAAAGCCAGCCCCCGGCAGGGCCAGCACAGGGGTTCTGCGGGGCCGTCCTGTGGCTCTGATATCTATGAGTCGTTGGCCAGCAAAGGCACAGGCACCAGCAGAAAGGAGCAGAAACGCCCAGAACATCCTGTCCCCCAATGCCAGCCCCAAGCAGGGCCAGCTTAGGGTGCGGTGGGCAGAGCCATCTTGCAGCTCTGAGATCCATGAGGAGGAGGTGGGAGTAGCTCCAGGCTCCACTGCGTTGGAGCTCGCACAATTTGAGCCCAATTTGATTCTGGAGCCATGACTTGCAGCACATTGGCGACCAGAAGACCCCCAAAGGTAGGGAGGCGACAGATACCGCTTGGACTCAGGAGCTCCTCTGGCCGTTGCTGAACCAAGGTTCCCCCAGAGACATCCACAGCCTGGGGCTCCTCCCTTCTTCACCTAGTTCCTTTCCTAGGCCCAGGCCCCAAGCATGAGGACTGGCTCTGCCTGGCGTCTCCATCCCTTGGTCTTTCTCTGTTGCATCCAGCTGGTTTCTTTTCTCCTCCCTACCCATATGCCCAGTTATGGGCCCTCTTCTTCTTCCTAGAGGCTGGTCAAAAACTAAGTTTTCAAAGTCCAAAGTGGATGCTACAGATTTCGTTGCTTTAGAGGAAATGTCTGACAGCTCTTGTATTTAAACTTAAGTAGCTACACTGGGACTCACAGTTTCATATCTTAAGTTCTAGACCAGAGCTATCTACCCTAAAGCAACGGTAAGGGGTTAGAGGTACTCTTCTTGATTCGAATAATAAAAAATGATTTTTTTTTGTAGGGACAAGGCTCACTGTGTTGTCCAAGCTGGTCTCAAACCCCTGGCCTCAAGTGATTCACCCACCTTGGCCTCCCACACTGCTGGGATGACAGGCAAGAGCCACCACACCTGGTCATTGGAGGTGCTCTTGCTTTGTGTGTTTGGGCTGGTCTTCAGGCGCAGCTGTCAGTAAGATGCTCCTGCAGTATAGTTCTAAGTCTTTCTGCACAGATTCAGTGGGTCCTGTGTTTTTTTACATGGAATAGCCCATTTATTTTTTGCGAGAAGCTAGATAATTCACAGTAACCTATGGCCTAGAAAATTTTACTTCTTGATCAACACAACTCTTTATAGATGCTTGTGGTCCAAAAATGCAGATTCCTAATCATCCCCACGAATAAGGGGGCCATTGCAAGGCAACCTGGGAGGGAGTTTAGGATTGCTCTGAGGCAGTGAAAGCTACTGAAATTCCCACATTAGGGGGCCAAAAAGGGAATCCACATATTTTGATCCCTCCATGTTCTGGGTGTAACTTGGTCCTCGTTAAATTGCACCATTTTTGGCATCAGAGAGAATCGGATTTGAATCCCAGTTCCATCCCTCATTATGATTTGATGGTGAATGTGTTTTTAACTCGTCTGAGCCTCAGTTTGCTGATCTATAAAATATGTGATTGTTACGAGGCTTCCATAACGTACATGTGTAAAAACCGTGGCAAAATGCTGTAATTTAAAAGAGAGGGTTGTTAGGAGACTTCTATCAGGTAAGTATATAAAAACCTGGACACAATGCCTATAATTTTGTAAGTGTTCAATATATGGAGTAGGAGGATTATTTTTCTTTCATTTAATTTTTAGAGCAACTTTATAAAATTGGTGATACTCATATATTTGAGATAATCAAACCAAGGATCAGAAAGACTAAACAAATCACCATAGTCACAAAGCAGTTCACAATACATTTACTGGATAATTTCTAGTTAAAAGTAGCAATGATGATCACATTGAAAATTTTGTATTATCTGGTTGTTTTCTCTTACATAAGCTTCTTGGAATTTAGTAAGATAAGTTCCAGCTCAAAAAGCAGATCCGTAGAATATTTTATTCCAGAGATTGTAGTGGGGGCCAAAGTATTGCATGTGTTTTGTTGGGAACAAGGTGTAGGCTGAGAATCTAAGCAAACTTCAGTTGGTGGTTTTCAGTTGGTGGGCAGTGGCAGAAGGAGGAGGAGCTCCGTCTGTGCTCTCTCTTCCGCCAGTCACAGCCCTCAGGCTTGTTGCATTCAAGCCCTTCTAAGTTAAACCAGACAGGTCGACAGGTTTATTTATCATTTAGCAGACAAGTCAGCTCAGGGTAGGCGGGTGAGGTGGGGTGTGGGCTGCTAGTACAGTGCTGCCCTTTGACCCAGGGCTGCCTGTGCCCATGGGGCTATTCCATACATTATATATATATAATATTTTATATATATGTATATAAGCCTGTTGGTTTGTTAAAACCATGGATTCTAAGTTGCTCTATCAACGTGATCATTAGAAAAATGTGATGTACTTAGTGTGTAAATTTTAGAACATTTCTTCTGTTAGTCTTGTTAATACTCAATTCTTTTTTAAAACACCTAGCCCAAATCTCCATAGGTTTTAATCGAATTATATTATAATTTGGATTTTCTGGTCTGCCTATCTTCCAAATAATAAAGTTCTTAATATTAATTTTGTATTGCTGCCATAACAAATTACTGCAACTTTGTGGCTTAAATCAAAGACTTACGACCCTATAGTTCTTTAGGGCAAACCTCTGACTGTGGTCTTACTGGGCTTAAGTCAAGGTGTTGTCAGGGCTGTATTGCTTTCTGGAGGCTCTAGAGAGAATCCATTTCCTTTTCCAACTTTTAGATGTTGTCCCTATTCCTTGGATCATGGGACCATCCTTCCATCTTAAAAGCCAGTAATGTGGGATGTCTGTGGCCATTGTTCTGTAGCCATATCACCTTCTGACTGTAGCTAGGAAAGATTCTCTGATTTTATAGACACATGCAATTAGATTGACCCCCAAGATAATCAAGGATAATCCCCCTAACTCAAGAGTTAATCACATCTCCAAAGTCCCTTTTGCCCCATGTAAAGTAATATGGTCACAGATTCCAGGGACTAGAACATCTTTATGGGGTCATTATTTTGACTGTCACAAAGGCAAAGTCTTGGACTTATGCATATCTAGATTTTCTTTGCTTAATTTCTGAGCCTAGAACACATTAGACTCTAAATAAATGTGAATGAGTGATAAATATTATATTTACAGATTGCTGCCACATTGCAATTCTGTCCTCCCACTGGTGGTGGAATCCTATGTACTTTTTACCATCTCCATTTTGCATTCAGACTGAACATGGCTGTGTTACTCCTTTCACCTGGGTGATTTCAAACCATCTCTCTATTTCTATTTGTAGAGATCTTATCTATCAAGCCCTTCTCAAATGCCACTTCAAAAAACATTTTCTAATCCCCAATTGTCTTAGTCAATTTATGCTCTTACAACAAAATAACACAGACTAGGCAATTTATGAAAACCAGACATTTATCTGTCATAGTTCTGGAGACTAGGAAGTCCAAGATCAAGGCATTGGCAGGTCTGATGTCTGGTAAGGGCTGTTCTCTCCGTCCAAGATGGTGTTTTGATGCTGCATCTTCCAGAGAAAGGGAACACTGTGTCCTCACATGGTGGAAGGTGGGAGGGCAAGAGGGATGAACTCCCTCCATGGAGCCCTTTCATGAGGGCTCCTAAACCCATTCCTGAGGTAGGAGTCCTGATGGCCTAATCACTTCCTGTAGGATCCACCTCAACATTATCACATTGTCAACGCTGAATCTCGGAGGAGGCACAGTGAAACCACAGCACCAATCAAGTATGATCTTTCTCTCCTCAGAAACCCCCTCATATGTTTAGACCTCCCATGCACTTTTATACATTTTGTCTCATGGTTTCTTCCTGTACAAATAAGGTGCTATAAATGGATAGCTATAGTTTTGGGTTTCATTTCAACAAAACACCCTTCCTAGTTTTTTGAACCCCAAGCGAAATATGAGGACAGGCCCCACCTTCCATTACAAAAGCTGAAAGGAGTGCATGATCCTTTTTCCAGTTTCTTGGCCACTCACGTGTGGGCACATATCTAGGCCCAGCCAACTGATGTCTCTTTATTAGAACTTGGAACCCGATGAAATGATGCAAAAGACCTGAAAGAATCAGAGGTGATTCTGAGAAATTGAGCAGAGATGCAGGTCCAGAAATGTGGTAGCAAGTGCCTAGGTTCAGCAGAGCCCAGCTACATGGTGACAAGTGTCAAATGGCAACATCCTAGTGGTGGCATCCCGAGATCTGCTTCCGTCGAATGAACTTGGCTGTGCTGAGTTTCCCTCAGTTCTTACCTTGCTTCTCCAGCATCTTCAATGATTTTGTGAACTATTCAATGTCCTTTCATCGAATTCCTATTTTGCTTAAGTTGTCTAGAATTTGTTATTTTCAGTGAAAAATATAAACCAATTATCCCCTCACATTAAAACACACTCCACTGAGGCATCTCCTGTGATCTCACTGGAGAAAAGTGTGGACGTTATTTGTAATTTGACTCAGAATGATAGGATTAGTTTGGTACTAGTAACAATGGAGATAAGTAACTAACTTTTTGTGAAACTTCTTCCTGGGGTGAAACAAAATCTATTGTGGAAACTCTTTCCAATCATCTCTGGAAATTTCTTAAGTGACCTAGTATGTAATAATAATTTACCATGATACTTGATAAAATAGTTTTGTGTGTTCAGAATAATTTCTTTCTTCTTTACCTTTGAAAATAATGCATCGATAGTTAATTTTCTCCTAAATTGTCTGTTTTTATTTCCATAAAAGGTATTTATTGAATGTCTCCTTACTTTTAATATAACTAGGCATTGTGTGATTAAAGCAAAATAAATATGTTCTTGTTTCTGGAATTACTAAAGCTTTGAAAATGGACTTATCGACCTCAAACCAATGGGACATATTCCCATGTGGCCTGCTCCCCTGTTAGGTTTCCCAGGGTAAGTGGTGATTCCTTTTCTGTCTTTTTAAAAATTTTAGAAATGCAGCTTCTGCTGTGGGACACTAGGCGGAGTACTTCAGAGCAGGGTTTGTGGGAGTACAAAGCTAACTTCTGCTGCTTTTGCTTGATGCTTCTGCAGCTTCCTTGACTACTGTGGATGATAAGTAACTATTTTCTTCCTCTTCTTTCTTTTTTCCCCACACTCTTTGGAGTGAACTGGAAACATTTAGGAAGTTTTTTTTTTTTTTTCTTTTTTTTTTTTTTTATTATACTCTAAGTTTTAGGGTACATGTGCACATTGTGCAGGTTAGTTACATATGTATACATGTGCCATGCTGGTGCGCTGTACCCACTAATGTGTCATCTAGCATTAGGTATATCTCCCAATGCTATCCCTCCCCCCTCCCCCGACCCCACCACAGTCCCCAGAGTGTGATATTCCCCTTCCTGTGTCCATGTGATCTCATTGTTCAATTCCCACCTATGAGTGAGAATATGCGGTGTTTGGTTTTTTGTTCTTGTGATAGTTTACTGAGAATGATGGTTTCCAATTTCATCCATGTCCCTACAAAGGATATGAACTCATCATTTTTTATGGCTGCATAGTATTCCATGGTGTATATGTGCCACATTTTCTTAATCCAGTCTATCATTGTTGGACATTTGGGTTGGTTCCAAGTCTTTGCTATTGTGAATAGTGCCGCAATAAACATACGTGTGCATGTGTCTTTATAGCAGCATGATTTAAAGATGTTCTTTGAAACCAACGAGAACAAAGACACCACATACCAGAATCTCTGGGACGCATTCAAAGCAGTGTGTAGAGGGAAATTTATAGCACTAAATGCCCACAAGAGAAAGCAGGAAAGATCCAAAATTGACACCCTAACATCACAATTAAAAGAACTAGAAAAGCAAGAGCAAACACATTCAAAAGCTAGCAGAAGGCAAGAAATAACTAAAATCAGAGCAGAACTGAAGGAAATAGAGACACAAGAAACCCTTCAAAAAATCAATGAATCCAGGAGCTGGTTTTTTGAAAGGATCAACAAAATTGATAGACCGCTAGCAAGACTAATAAAGAAAAAAAGAGAGAAGAATCAAATAGACACAATAAAAAATGATAAAGGGGATATCACCACCGATCCCACAGAAATACAAACTACCATCAGAGAATACTACAAACACCTCTATGCAAATAAACTAGAAAATCTAGAAGAATGGATACATTCCTCGACACATACACTCTCCCAAGACTAAACCAGGAAGAAGTTGAATCTCTGAATAGACCAATAACAGGCTCTGAAATTGTGGCAATAATCAATAGTTTACCAACCAAAAAGAGTCCAGGACCAGATGGATTCACAGCCGAATTCTACCAGAGGTACAAGGAGGAACTGGTACCATTCCTTCTGAAACTATTCCAATCAATAGAAAAAGAGGGAATCCTCCCTAACTCATTTTATGAGGAAGTTTGTTGATCAACATATATTGTGTTTCGAAAATCCGGCTAAGATAATATGGTAGGACTCCTTTGGTTATAAATAATAGAATTCAAACTCAAACTGGTCTAAGCAAAAAATATATATTAATTTGTGGACTCGTATAATGGAAAAATCCAGGGTGTAGCTTCAGAATGTCTGAACGTAGGGACTCAGGACTTGGCTCCTCTCAGCTTCCTTGCTTTTTCTTCCCCATTGATTTTATTCTCAGACAAGTTTTCCCTTTGTGCTGCAATGTGGCCATCATCACTCCTCCAGTTTACATTTCCTTAGTTCCACAGTCCCAGGATAAAACAAAAACAGAAACCCTTCTAATAGTTTCAATAAGAGACTAGAGATTGACTTTGGGTGTGAGGCTTGGATTTCATGTCCATTTCTAGTTTCATCTGTGCCAGGATTAGAAGTATGTTCATTGGCCAGGCCTGTGTCATGAGCACCTACAGGGTTTCCACTGTCCACACAGTGCCTTTGCAAGTATTAGAAAATGGCTCCCCTTTCTCCAGTTAGATGCAACCCTGTATCAGGGCATGTGGCTTGGAGAAGAGCATGCAGGCTGGATTTCAACCCCCCTTTCTCCCTTAGCTGGGTTTCTTCCTTGAGTGAACAACATACTTGTTAGTAGCTGTCCTGTGCTTATTCCTGAAACTGGGGGTGAAATCAGCCACCACGCCAAAACTGAAGGATAGAAGGTGGCTTCATCTAGGGTATCAGATAATGGCTAATAACAAAGGGAGGGGACAGTGGGTGCTGTGTGGGCAAAAGGAGCAAGAAATAATCCTAACCTGTGTAGACTTCACCTCAGAAGCCATATACAACCTTCTTCAATGGAAATATTTAACACTTCAGGAGTGCCAAGAAGGCTATAAGGAGCGTAACTCTTAAGGACTTAAGTTAGGGCATTCTAGAATGTATGCTTTACGGATTTACCTTATAAATATATAACTGACTAATACACACAGAAAATATATTGCAGAGTAACATAGATGACAGAACTTGAAATACATGACATTCTACCGCAGTCTATCATTATTTTCTAACTTATCAAAAGACTCAGAGGATCTTTTTTTTCGTATTGATACATTTCTAACCAGAGCCCTATTTACTTGTGTCTTGAAAAACAGAGTATTTGCAAATATGTCTGAAGAGGGAAGAGAAAGAAAATGATTCCAAGAAAGCTGATAACATTAAGACATCTGTTTATAGAAGATGTAAATTTGCAACCACAAATTAAAAGCTTATAGGAGCTACACAGAATGTGAAGAAAAATAAATGAAACCAAACCACTACAAGAAATAACCAAACTAAGGAGACAGCAAGAGAGGAAAAAAAAAGAACTGCAAAACATATGAAAAGCAATTAACCAAACGCAAGTTACTCCTTACCCATCAACAATGACTTTAAATGTGAAAGGATTAAACTATCTAATTAAAAGACATAGAGTGGCACAGTGGATAAAAGATACTCATCAGTACCCATTTATAAGGGAATCACTTTAGATATAAAGATACATAGAGGCTCAAAGTGAAGGGATGGGAAAAGATACTCTACGCAAATGGTAAACAAAAAAGAGCAAGGGTATCTATATTTAGATGAGAAAAAATAGACTTGAAATCAAAAACTGTCACTAGAGACTAGGAAGGTCATTATATAATGATAAAAGTTCACTTCAATGGGAAGATTGAAAATATATATCCACCCAACATTAGAACACCTAAATATATAAAGTTAATATCAACAAAGCTAAGGGGAGAAATCAGTAACACTAAAATAATAGTAGCCAACTTCAACACCCCAAATTCAATAATGGATAGAACATCTAGGCAGGAAGAAAAAATGAGGAAACAGCTGACTTGAACAACACAGTAGATTAAACACTGACAGATACACAACTTTCCATCCAACAGCAGCAGAATATACATTCTTCTCAAGTGCACACAGAATCTTCTCTGAGATAGATCAAATCTTAGGTCACAAGGCATACTACAAATATAAGAAGTTTGATATAACTCCAAGTATCTTCTCATTCCACAATGGCATAAAATTAGAAGTCAATAACAAAGAAAACAGAAACATTTACAAAAATGCAGAAACTAAACAACGCATGCTTGAACAACCATTGGGTAAAAGAAGAAATCAAAAGGGAATTTTAAAAATATCTTGAGACAAACAAAAATGAACATACAACTCAACAAAACTTAGGATGCAGCAAAAGAAGTGCTAAGAGGGAAATGTTACAGTGATAAATACCTACATTAAAAAATAAGAAAGAGGTAACTCGAACAACCTAACTTTAAAAATAAACAATTAGAAAAAGAGAAACTAACTAAACCCGAAGTTAGCATAATGAAGTAAATAATAAAGATTAGAATATAAATAAAATAACTATAAAATAGAAAACAATAGAAAAATCAACAAAGCTAGAGTTGAATTTTTGGAAATACAAACAAAAATAACAAACCCTTAGCTACACTAAGAAAAAAAGAGAAACTCAAGTAAATATAATCAGAAATGAAAATGGAGACATTATAGGAAATGTACAGGCATACAAATGATTATAAAGGACAATTAAGTGATTATATGCCAATAAATTGGATAACCTAGAAGAAATGGATCAATTCTTAGAAAGATGCAATCTACTAAAATGGAACAAAAAAGAAATAGAACAGACCAAAAGCAAGCAAAGAGATCTAATCAGTAATCAAAAATTTCCCAACAAAGAAAAGCCCAGGTGCAGATGCTTTCATGGGCAACATCTACCAAACATTCAAAGAAGAACTAACACCAAAACTTCTTAAACCCTTCAGAAAAAATAGAAGAGAGAATACTCTCAAACTCATTTCATGAGGCCAATGTTACCATGACTTAAAAGCTAGACGAAGACAACACAAGAAAAAATAATTACAGACCAGTATCCTTAACGAATATAGATGCAAAATTTCTCAATAAAATACTAACTAGCAAACTGAATTCAAAAGCACATTGAAAAGGTCATACACCATGACCAATTGTAATTTATCTATGTGATACAAGGATGTTTCAAAGTGTAAAAATTAATAATGTGATATACCACATTAACAGAATGAAAGATAAAAATAACATTCCAATGGATGCAGAAAACACATTTGACAAAACTCAATATATTTTCATGATAAAACTCTCAACAAAATAAGTATACAAGAAACTTACCTCAACACTATAAAGGCTGTATATGAAAAACCTATATCTAATATTATAATCACTGGGGAAAAACTGAAAGCTTTTTCTTAATATCTGGAACAAGACAAGGATGTCTACTCTCATCACTCCTATTCAACATAGTAGTGGAAATCCTAGCCAGAGCAATCAGGCAAGAGAAATAAAAGGCATCAAAATTGAAAGGAAAGATGTAGTTACCTCTGTTAACAGAAAACATGATTATTATACATTGAAAACTCTAAAGACTCCACAGAAAATGGTTACAAATAATACAGTCAGTCTTTCATATCTGCTGGGGATTTGTTTCAGGACCCCCTCAGATAACAAAATCTGTGATGATCAACTCCCTCACATAAAATGGTGTACAGTTGGCCCTATGTATCCATGGGTTCACATCTGTGGATTCAAACCACCACAGATGGAAAATGCGTACAAGTTATGTTCATAGTTCATTGAGTTCATGGTTGCAGAACCCATGGATATGAAGGACTGACTATATAATAAATTTACTAAAGTTGTAGGATACACAATCGACATACAAAAATCATTGCTATTTCTAAACACTAACAATGAATTGTCTGAAAGGGAAATTTAAAAAACAGTATCAAATAAACTACTTTGGAACTAACTAACCAAAGAAGTGAAAGACTTAAACACTACAAATTATAAAAGATTGATGGCAGAAATTTAAACCAAAGTAAATTGAAAGACAACCCATGGATTGTAAGAGTTAGTATTGTATTATTAAAGTGTCCATATTACTCAAAGCAATCTCACATTTAATGTAATCCATATCAAAATTCCAATGGTATCTCTCACAGAAATAGAAAAAAAATCCTAAAATTCATATAGAATCACAAAAATCCCTGAGTGGCAGAAGCAATTTTGAGCAAGAACAAAGCTACAGGTATCACAATTCCTGACTTCAAATTAAATTACAAAGCTGTAGAAAGAAAAAACACTGTGGTAATGGCATAAAAACAGACACATAAACCAGTGAAACAAAATAGAGAACGTAGGCATAATCCACACATTTGCAGTAATTGATCACCCTGGAAGGTGACAAGGAGGCACTAAGGGGAGGATATGTTGTTGACCAAATGGTGTTAGGAAAGCTGGATGTCTACATGTAAAAGAATGAAATAGGATCCCTAGCTCACGCCGTATGTAAAAATTAACTCAAAATGGATTAAACGTTTAAATGTAATCACTGAAACCATAAAACTCCTGGAAGAAGACAAGAGAAAACATTCTTGACATTGGTCTTGGCAATAATTTGTTTAGATATGATGCCAAAAGCACAGGCAACAAAGGCAAAATAGATAAATGAATTACATCGAACTAAAAAGCTTCTGCACAGTAAAGAAAACAAATAATGAAATGATAACGCAACCTATGAAATGGGGAAAATGTTTTAAACCGTATCTCTTATGAGGAGTTCAAAAAATAAGAAAGACATATACACATCAATTCCAAAATTATGAATAACCTAATTTTATTTTAAGGCAAAGAAACTAAATAAATACATCTCAAAAGAAGAAACTCAAATGGCTAACAGGTATATGAAAATGTGCTCAACATGTCTAAACTTCAGAGTAATGCAAATCAAAACCACAATGAGATATCATGTCACACCTGTTAAAATGGCTATTATCAAAAAGAGAAGAGATAAGTGTTGGTAAGAATGTGGAGAAAAGAAAACCATTATACACTATTGACGGGAATGCAAATTAGTAAAACACAGAAAACAGTATTGAGGTTCCTCCAAAGAAAATTGAAAATAGCACTGGCCTGGTGTGGTGTCTCACACCTGTAATCCCAGGATTTGGGGAAGTCAAGGCAGGAGGCCAGGAGCTCCAGACCAGCTTGGGTAACATAGCAAGACCCCATCTCTGAAAAAAATTTAAAATTAACCAGACATGGTGTTGTACACCTGTAGTCCCAGCTACTCAGGAGGCTGAGGTAGGAGGATCGCTTGAGCCCAGGAGTTCAAGGCTGCAGTGAGCTATGATCTTGCCACTGGACTTTACCTTGAATGACAGAGTGAGACCCGGTTTCAAAAATAAAAAAAAAAGAACTACCACATAATCCAACAATTTCACTTTTGGATATATGTCCAGGGAAATTGACAGAAGAGTCTTAGAGAGGTGTCTGTCATCCCCTGTTCATTGCAGCATGACACACAATGACCAAAATATGAAAATAACCTAAGTGTCCTTTGGCAGAGGAACAGATGAATGGGTAAAGAAAATGTGACGTGTATACATAAAATGAAATATTATACAACCTTGAAAAAGAAGGAAATCCTTCTATTTGTGAAAACATGGATGGAGCTGGAAGATATTGCGCCAAGCAAAAATGCAAGACACAGAGACAAATACTTCATGATCTCACTTACATGAGGAATCTACAACAGTCAAATTCATAAAAACAGAGAATAGGACAGTGGTTGCCAGGGGCTCAGGGAGGGGAAATGGGGTGATGTTAATTAAATTGTGCAATGTTCAAGTTATAATAATTTCTGGAGATATAATGTACAACATGGAACAACACTGTATCATATTCTTGTGTTCTGCTAAAGGACTAGAACATAAATTAATTACTGTCAACACACACACAATGGTAAATATGTAGAGATAATATGCTAATTTGCTCGATTGTGGTGATCATTTCGAAAAGTATAGAAATATCAAAACATTAAGTTACCTTAAATTTATACAATTTGTATATGTCATGTTATCATCATAAAGCTGTTAAGAAAGATTTAGTGAATCATGTCAACCACCTGGGAACTTTCTCATGACAGGGAGGGCTGGAGTAGGAAAATGGAATTTTTCAACAAGGATAGGGTGAGGGACATGGGAAATGATTGATCAAGTATTTAAGAAATGACCTGGGTGGAAGCTACATCAAAGGGTAGGAGCTTTAGCGCATCAGTCCTCAAACTTTTTGGTTCCAGGAACACTACATTTTTAAAAGTTATTGAGGACCCCAAAGAGCTTTTATTTATTTGGATTATATCTATCTATATTTATCATATTAAACATTAAAACTGAGAAATTAAAACAAATAAAATAATATGTTTACATAAATCACATTTTTATTTAAAATTATCATTTTTAAGCAGTAAAGTTGGTGAGAACAGTGACATTGTTTTATATTTTTAGGTATGTCTTTAAAGTCTGGTTTAATAGAAGAAAACTTGGTTCTCCTTTCTGCTTCTATGTTTAATTTCTTGTGACATCCCATGTCAGGTAGCCTCTGGGAAACTCCAATTATACTTGTGAGAGAATGAAAGTGGAAAAGTTAAACAAAACCTGTGTCTTTTTATGAAAAGACTTTTGACCTTGCAGAGCCCCTGGAAGAGAGTCAGGGACTTCTCAGGGTTCTCTGGCTCATGTGTTCACGGAGTAGAGGGTAAGTCCGCAAGAGAAAGCAGTGATTGGCTGTGGGAGGTCTTGCTGAGAGGTGATAGAGAAGAGGTTGAATGTGTAGAAAGTATGGTCGTTATTTTCATTTCTTTTCCCTTTCCTTTGGCCTCTTGTTGCTGGGATTTCCTCTTTAGATGATCGTATCATAAATTAGAAATAGCATTAATGAACATTCTTGATACTGCCTAATGAAAGTTTTTGTTTTGTCTTCCTGAGTCTTGATACATTTCAAGAAGTCTTCTATCTCATTTATTTTTCCCACCCAAATTTGGAATTTAGGAAGAGTCGATATAGCTATATTTAGATGATTTATCTCCCTGACGACATTTTGGGATCATTTATAAATCTCTATAAACAATGCTCTGATGTTCCTTTATTTTGTTTAGAGACTGGGTCTTGCCGTGTTGTCTGGAGTGGAGTGGCTCGAGCGTAGCTCACAATACACAATACAATCAAACTCCTGGGCTCAAAGTGATCCTTCCACTCAGCCTCCACGGTAGCTAGGTCTGCAGGTGTGTGCCAGCACGCCTAGCTTTTGATTACTATTATTATTTTTGTAGAAATGAGGGTTTCATTATGCTGCCCAGGCTGGTCTTCCAACTCTTGGCCTCAAGCGATCCTCCTGCCTTCCGCCGTCTGAGGAGCTGAGATTACAGGTGTAAGCCACCATGCTGGTTCTGATGTCATTTAAATACAAACATGATACTGTATTCCTTGTAGAAAGTGCTACATAAATATAATTTTTTTTGAAATAGGGTCTTGCTGTGTCACCCAGGCTGGAATGCAGTGGTATGATCACACTCACTGCAGCCTTGACCTGCTGGGCTTAAGTGATCCTCCCACCTCAGCCTTCCAAGTAGCTGGGACCTGAGGTATGAGCCACAAAGCCCAGAGAATTTTTCAATTTTTGGTAAAGATCGGCGTGTCACTGTGTTGCCCAGGCTGGTCTTGAACTCTTGGGCTCAAGTTACCCTCCGCCCAGGTCTCCCAAAGTGCTGGGATTACAGGCCTGAACCACTGCACCGGGTCCTAAAAATTTGTTCACTTTATTTGTTTGTGCACAAGGTGCTGCTGTTTCCCTTCTAATAACATGAGACAGCTCACTCAAGAACATCAAGAACACGACATTCTCTAAAAAAAATCACAGTAGTTCCTTTTCCATAACTATTAAGTTTTCAAGATGTTATCAGGTTTATCTCATAGAAAGAATGTGTAAAATTTTTCATGTAGAAACATAATCTTTTAGCAATGAGTTAGTTAAAAAAATTGGCATTGTCAGAGTGACGATTTCCTTTTCCCTATAATTTTATTTATTATAATTATATTTTTAGTGATATCAATTGCTTTATAAAAACTCATTGCATTATATACCCAATGACTGTGAAATCATCTACTTTGAAGCACTGTGAAGTCATCAATCAGCGTACTGGGTCTAACACAGTTCCTTCCATTTTAAGAAAGCTATTTACACTCCAATTTGCAAGTTGGATTTTACAAAAATTAAAACATTTAGAAAATGTACTAACTACGATTGTTTTAAAAAGTAGTGGTTTTTTATGGTAAGGAAATAAATTGAAGCTCTGTTTTGGAAAGTGCAGAAAACAAATCAGCATCTTTATAAATAGATTTTACTGCTGGTTTAGAAATTACCTTATGTGCTTTATAGATGATGGAAAATGAAATCAGCTGCAGTTAGCAATGTGCATGCATCGTACTTGCTGTGTCACTTTCAGAAAGATTATGGAATATTGGCAGGTCAGGATTCTCAAAATGATAAGTTCTAAGAAGAGGCTAAATGAAAAAGAATTTTAAAAGCAAGGCTAATTGTTTAATATATACATGGACGAGTTATGGGGAAATCCTGGACTGGGAGCTAGCAGATCTATGTTCTGACTTTTACTAAGTCATTGGCTTCTACAGCAGGCCAAGCAAACATAACTGCCAAGGCTGCCTGGGAGTTGGGTTGATTGGCAATTGGCACAGGGAGAGAGGACAATTGCCAGAATAATGGCCAAATAGTCAGGGTTTCATGTTGAGTGAAGCAGGACATGCATTTGTATCCCAAGGGCAAAACTGACGCTAGAATCTGGGCCTCCTGGCTGAATCTGAGTCCACAGTCTGATGAGTAGGATGAAGTAGTCTCAGAAATCCAAGCCAGCCAGAACCCATGAGGTGTGCTCTGCAGATATTGGCTGGCGAGCTGCATTAAGATGTTTCATTACATTGAGCAAACATTCCTTGATTGGTTAGGTTAGCATCCCACAAGAGCAGAGACAAATTCTTCAGAATTTGTCCATGAAGCTATAGTCCCAGAGCTTATATTTCAAGGGAGGAGGGAGGAAACAACATCTCAGGATGGTAGGTGATTACAACTAAACCGAATTCTGAAAATAAAAGGAACCCTATGTCTTTGTCTGCTCAGGCTGCTTCTACAAACAACTGTAGACTGCGTGGTTTAAACAGCACATACTTGTTTCTCACAGTTGTGGGAAATTCAAAGATTAAAATCTGGGCCAGCAGAGCCAGTGTCTTGTGAAGGCCCTCTTACTGGTTTGCAGGTGTTCTTGTTGTATCTTCACATGGCTGAGTGAAGAAGGCTCTAGTCTTCTACTCTTCTTATTAGGATGCTAACCCCATTGTGGGAACTCCATCCTCATCAAAACCAAATTACTTCCCAAAGGTCCTCCTTCTAATGCCATTCTATTGTTAGAGTTTCAACATGTGCATTTGTTGATGCAAACATGCAGTGCACAGCATCTTATCTAATCAAGTCAGTTGTCCCTTGAATAAAATTCTAGCTCCTATAACAAGACTTCAAATTATGACTTGGTTGTTGCCAAAACTATCTATCTGGATTTGCTAGAAATCAAACATACTTGAATATTTCCTCTAAAGGTTTTCTCATTCCTACCCTATTGTGTATATTTACAGAATTCTTAAATAATTACATACTCAAGGCTTCTATTAGCTCTGACGAGAGCTTCTATTAGCTTTGACTATTGCAAGCAGCTTTATAGCACTGTAGGTAAAAACATGTGCTTTGAAATCATACAATAAATTTATTGAATGCTAAGCACTTTATAACCACTATTTAATGTTATCATCTTAATAACCTTCATTATACCCTCATTAACACCCTATTTGTTGGCTACTTATATTATTCTGATTTTGCAAATCTAAATTTGAGAGGCTTTCCCAATGTCACATAAGTTAATAAGTGGCATAGCTCGGGTTTGAATTAAAGTCTACCTGATTCCAAGATCTATTTACCATTGTTCTACAATATGTAGTTTTTAGGTCCCTGAGAATGCTAACAGCCTTTCTTTTGAAATCTGCATTATTTCTGGATAGCAGCTTTATTAATACATAACCATATTTCAGGCAACAAAATTCTTTGAAATCTTTCATTTCCATTGGGATATAAGGATCAGTTCTGTGGCATTGTCAGCCAGAAAACATCATTTGGAGACTATCTTGTACAAGAAGTAGAAGACACAGCTGGGGGCCTGCAGAGGACAGAAAGCTCACAGCTTCTGTCAATACCCCTTTCACTTCCTCCTCAAGGAGATTGACCTCTGTGGCTGGTCAAGCTTAAGGATCTTTTATGGACCACAGCTAATGGTGAAATCTTCCTAACTCTAGGTGAAGATTAATGGGCAAGTTGGAGAGTTAAGGTAGCTTATGGCTGCTCCTTTTAGAAAAAGTCTGTTCATTGCTCTCTTATTTGTGAAACCCCTCTGTTCCCCCAAATGCTTGGTAAGACATTCCTGAAGACCAATCCTGTGTCAGTAGACTTCATATCCACTCTCTTCTACCAATCACACAACTACAGACAAATAAGAAAAATAAAGCAAAGCTCAGACACACTCCCCTGGCACGGAGGCCACTCTCTGGCTGGCTGCTTTTCTCTACCATGCTGCATCCTGGGCATTTGGCTCTTTCTTAGATCAAACAGAGACATGGGTTTGGGATTAAAGAGAAGTAGGTGAAAGGGGTCTCTGGCCTGTTTTGGCATTAGACCAAGTTAACAACAGAATTCTGGCTTAAGCTCAGTTCTGTAGAGCTTTCTCTGTGTTTGGGGAAAATCTCCGATAGTAATGAAAAGGTATTTTACTGTGCTTCGTTTTCTGTACATGTATCTCTTTCTTAGATATATTGTGAGGAGATTCGTTCCCTGGACAAATGCCATCTTAATCACCTTCATTATTACCAATTTTATTTTATTTGCAGAATTAAAATTTAAATAGACATTCAGGAAACAAGTCTGGTGAGAGAATTATGTTATGAGGTTAATCTTTCAGCATCTGCCTTAGGGACATTGATTATTTTCCCCCTTGTTTTTCACCAAGCTCCAGGCTTGCAAAAGAATTGTGATGTGATCTGAGGCAAACTTACTGATTGGCTAGTGGTAAGTTTAACCATAACCGGTAGAACCGCTGGGAACCATTGCTTGTCACCGGCCAGAAATCCACTGTTTGGAGGTGTGCGCTGGGAAGGCTGTTCATACTTATTGATACATGCTTTGTTCTTGGCACTATGTTAAGTACTGGACACATGCAACAATTTGGAATATCGTTACATTCAACCCTCACAATAGTCTGATGTATATCTTATTAGTCCCGTATTAGAGACGAGTAAACAAGATTAGAGGAAGAGAAGTACACAGCTGGAACCACACAGGCTGCACTGGGACAGGAAGCAGTTCCGTCTCACCCTGGACCACCATTTCTATGCTGTGTCTCCACTAGAGGATCCTTTCTTTGGTTCTTCTGAGTCATTAGTCATCAATAATTTATCTTCAAACTGTAGGTTTCACAGGAGGAGATGCCACTTGAAGGTTCATGGCTTAAAATGGAGATGGAATGTGGAATATGGTGGGAAGCACCGGGAGGGGTTTATTGATAAATTTCAAGTACTTTGTGGGGCTCTGAAAGACTGTCTTCAAATTCTTTGTCCTACTACCTCTTTCATATTCAAATGTCATGTGGGTATATCTTTTGGGTTAAATTAAGGAAAATCTCCATGAAAAGTAAAAAACAAACAAAAAAACCCCAAAAGAATAGAAAGAGGTACTATGAAAAATCAACTCAGATTTCTCAGAGTTTTATTAACTCAAAGAAGCCTTGGTCCAGTTGGAAGAAGACAGAATTGATTTTGACAATCTCCAGCAAACGCTTTAGTGTTCAATGCACTCTAGACCATGAGTATAAAGAAGTTCACTTAATAGGTTCACCAAATTAGTTAGTTTGTGTAGTTCAAAGGGAAACAGACACACAGGACTGTGAGGTTTTGACAGCTGCGAAAGGCAAGTCTGGGTCCAGTGAGCCCAGGCAGGCCATGAAGGGGCAGGGCAGGAGAAGGACGGTGCTGGGAGGCTAGGGAACTGGCCACCTCTGTGCTGGCTGAAGATCACAAAAATCTACACAGCTTTCTGCAAATGCTGCCAGTGCCTGATGGAATTAAACAGAGCTCTGAGAAAGACAGCACTGTGGCCGAGGATGGGTCCTGAGCTGCCTACAGTCATCAATATCTTGGCCAGTGACTATGCACTCAGGGGCAATTTGGCTAGCTTTCTTGATCCACACCAGAAAACTCGCTTTTGAAGTGGTTTGGAAAGCTCCAAAAGGGAAGTGCTTCATGCTATTGGTATTGCTGCCAAAAAGAAAAGATTCTGCTTTTCATCAGCTGCTGATTTTCGCTCTCTGTATTTCTCTAGCATCTGTTGCTGGTGGCCCTGGTTATGCTAACAAGTAGATAGTGTAGCTGCAGCAGCAGAACAGAAAAGACTCTCCTGGATTCTCAGTTCCAGGCTGGCCTGGGAACAGGCTTAGGGATGTTTCAATGTTTGAATGCAGGTGAGCTGGAGATCTGTGGCAATTCTTTTGACATGAGGCTGGGCATTCTTTATAGCTTCCCCAGACACAGGAATTGGCAGGGCTTGAAAAAGAATCACTGGCAGGAGGTTCATTTTCTTTATTGCTACCTCCCCAGCCATAAAATTAAAAGCTTTTTACCTAAATAACGTTAGCCATCTCGTGGGAGTAGGAGATCATTTCCTTCAGAGTCTTTCCCGATTGGAGTCTAGTCCTAGGATGGTTTGAACGGTCCATTTGAATTTGAGGAGCTTTCTAATTGATGCTTCTCATCCCCTCTCCGACCAGTCTTATTTGGTGACATCTGCCTTTCCCCTTCCTCCCTACAAAACCTCAGAGTCTTGAAACAAAAATCTTAGTATTGTAAACTTCATCATGCTAATTTCATCAATTCAAACGAACCTTCCCTTGTTTGAGTTTCCTCCAACTGTGTGACTTAGGGCTGTTGAACTCTTTCAAATACACAGGAAAATGGAAATCTCTTTTGGTGTCTAGTGATTGTATAATAAAACATTTTCAGATGCTAATCACATGCTTTGTGCTTTGTTAATGAATGAAATTCTAAGGATATTCCTATTTGAAAGGTTTAAAAATATAATACCTGTCATTATATCTAATTCTGTCTACATTTCTGGTGTGAAATGAGAAGTCAGGAGCCCTGCCATCTACACAGTGCATGGTTCTACCAGCTATTTCTGTGTCACTTCAAGCAAATCACTTCTTTTCTGTCTTTTCTTTCTTTTTACGTAAAATGTGGATAACTGTCTCACTGAATTAATAGAGTGACTGTATTATGTACAACAAAATTTATTGAAAAGCATAAAGCTCTATAATTAGGTAGAATGTTACCTGTGATTTATAAGCTTTTTAAATCCTGGGGCAGTGGAGGAAGTATTCCTCTTACTGTAAAAGGACATCCCTCTAATAATCTCCCTTCTTTTCCTGACTTTTCAGGGATTCTGTTCATTGCTTTTCCATTTGTCATCTGCATCGTCAATCTCTCTCCTTCTTGATGCATTCGGTCAGCATTTAAATATAAATTTTTCATTTAAAAAATCTTCTATCTTGGAGGAACCTTAAATTTGACTCTGTGTGTCTTTCTAGCTATCAAGCCATCTCCTCCTTTCTTGGCAAATTTTTCTCAAGGATTTTCCACATTTACTATCTCCTTTTGCTCATTTTCCTTTCACTCTTTATTCAGGTCAGTTTGGCTTTCACTTTCATCAAGCCTATGAAACTGCTTGTGCTAAGGTCACCATATAAGAGTGCTAGGGGCTTCCATCACAAGCTGCCACAGATTGAGTGGTTTATCTTCTCACAGCTCTGAAGACTGGAAATCCAGGATGGAATGTCAGCAGGTTTGCCTTCTTCTGAGAACTGCTGCCTTGCAGATGCCTCTCTTCCTGCTGTGTCCTCAGTCTGTGTTGCCTGTGTCTCAAACTCTTTTTACATGGACACCTGCCATATTGGTTTAGGGTCCACCCATATGGCTTCATTTGACCTCACTTACTTCTTTGAATGCCTTCTCTAAATCAGTCCCTCTGAGGCAGTGGGGATCAGCTCTTCAACATAGGAATCTGGGGGGACACAATTCAGCACCCCCAGAATTGGTGATTCCTAAACATCATGAACACTATTCCTCTTTCTCTCTTTCTTTCCCTTTCTTTCTTTCTTTCTTTCTTTCTTCTCTCTCTTTCTCTCTCTCTTTCTTTCTTTCCTCTTCCTTTCTCCCTTCCTTCCTTCCTTCCCTCCCTTTCCTTTCCTTTCCTCGCTCTCCCTTCATTCTTTCCTTCCCTTTCCTTTCCTTTCCCTTCCTTTCCTTTCCTCACTCTCCCTTCCTTCTTTCCTTTCCTTTCCTCGCTCTTCCTTCCTTCTTTCCTTCCTTCATTCTCTCTCTTTCTCCCTTCCTTCCTTCTATTTATTTACTTTTGTTTATATAAAATTTATGGGATACATGTGCAATTTTGTTCCATGCATAGTGGTCAGTTCAAAGCTATTAGGGTATCCATCACACAAGTAACATATATTGTACATATTATGTAATATATAAGTCCAATGGGGTCTCAGGAACGTTCAGTAGGGTAGACCCCTGACCTCTTCCTCTAGCTTGAACTATTTTCTTATCAGCTTCTCCCTCTTTGCCCAAACTTTAAATGTTGAAGTTCCTAAAACCTGGGTCCTCTTCTGTTCTTATTCCATACTAGGCTTGTCCAACCCATGGTCTGTGGGCCATGTGTGGCCCAGGACAGCTTTGAATGCAGCCCAACACAAATTTGTAAACATTCTTCATGCATTATAAGATATTTTATGATTTTTTTTAGCTCATCAGCTATTGTTAATATCAGTATATTTTATGTGTGGCCCAAGACAATTCTTCTTATTCGAATGCAGCCAGGGAAGCCAAAAGATTGGACACAGACTGCCTACACAGACACTAGACAAGGTTTTATTAATTACTATGGCTTTAGATACCATTTATATGCATATGACTCCTACAGACCTCTCCTCCCAAGCTCCAAAACATTATGTGCACCTGCCATCTTGAAATCTCCCCTGGGATTTTCACAGGCATTCCTAAAATCAGATTTCAAAACTCTTGAGTTCTGCCCCCACATCTATGCCACTTCCTCAATCATTTCTCTTTTGTTAGTTTATTTCTTTTTCAGCCTTACCATTCTTCATAAAAATTATCTCCATTTACCCATTTGCTTCTTCCAGAAAGCATCATCATCCTTGATGCTTTCTTCTTCCTGCAACAACCCCTACCATCACAACTTGCAACCAAGTACTGTTATTTCACCTTCAAAATATGTGCTAAAATTATCCGCTTCTGTCATCTGCATCTTTCACCTGGCGTGCAAACATATACTCCTCTTTCCAACTTTTTGCCTCTCCAATACCTTCTCTATGGCACACCCAGAGAGGTTTTTCAAAAATATCAATTAGATCATGTCTCTCCTTCGTTTAAAAATCTTTAATGATTTTCTATCCACGAAATAATTCTGCTAGTCTGCAAGCTCTAAAGATGCAAGGACTAGGTTTGCCTTATTTATTTCTGTTTATGCAGAGCCTAGCCTTGCATTTAGTACGAATTTAACACATTGACCTAGATCTTGTCCACCTTCTCAGCCTCACCTCTCATGGAAGCACTCATAGACCTCAGTCCAGTTACACTTTTCTCAGATCCCTGAGCTGGCCTGGTACAGGGCTGCCTCGGCCGTGATGTGTTCACTCCTGATTTGTTGGCTGGTATCTGTTTATATTCTTGCTACTGTAAATGATGTCCAAGGCAGTCACATAGGCATCCCTGGGAGCTTGCTAGAGCTCAGGCACCACCCTAGATTCAATGAATCAGAATCTGCATGTTGACAAAGTCCCCAGGTGGTTCATATGCACATTCAAGTTTACGGTGCTTTGCTCTGGATCCCAGCCTGAGTGTTACTTCTTTAAAGAGACCTTTCCCAACTGGCCAAATCTTATTAAGTCATGTGATGGATTCACTCACATGGTCTGTGATACAGAAGGGAAAAGGAGTTGCGGCCTATTGATCAGAATATGCTCACTTTAGAGTTTTACCTAAGGGTGATCCTATCAAAAGTTCTGGATTTTGTAGAGAAGCATACAAAGTATGTGAATAGTTTGATTTGAGCAAATTGAAAATTGCCAGTTTTCTTTGCTTTAACCAATGTTTGCTTTCCCTCTGAAAATCCCTTGTTACAGGTCCTTAGTTTTAGTTTGCCACGTTATGACAAGATGGGAATAGTGCACAGCAGTGATCCTCAGTTGGTTTGGGTTTTCAATACATAATTGATCCATGGTTGTGACATGCATTGTAGCATGTCCAACTAGAATACCTATTCTTTCAATTACTTTCATTACTTTCAATGCCAAAACAACAATTACTTTTGCACTAACCTGATAGCTTTGCTACAAGTCAGTCGTTCAGTTTTCTTTATTTGTTGTCGTTTGTTTTTATTTTTGCAAACACTTTAGATACTACATAGTGGATGGATTAGTTTGTGGTTCCTTGTATCTTCTGTGTATTCTGTTGAAGCTCAATAATCACATTACTGCGGACCTCCAAAATTTTACAAAGGACTGCATAGTGAGTATTCAGTCGATAAACTAAACCACAGCTTATTACTGTGAGAAGAAAGAAAGCACACCAATTAAAAGTAAACACTGTTTAAACTTATCTCAATGAATTTCTAAAGAGTCATACATTTATTATATTCTCTATTTGTAAAATATTTTGTTGTGTGTATTGCCAAGTATTTCAGGATTTTATGGGTATAATGTATTCCACTAATTTAAAAGGAAACCTTGTAGTTATTCAACAAGCAAACTAAAAGTGTTGGCAGAGATGTAATTTCGAAAAGAGTGTTTCAAAACTTCTCTTTCAAAAAAAAGTTCAACTCTGTGAGTTGAGTACACACATCACAAAGTAGTTACTGAGAATTCTTCTGTCTACTTTTTATGGGAAGATATTCCCTTTTTCACCATAGGCCTCGAAGCGCTCCAAGTTTCCACTTACAGATTCTAGAAAAAGAGAGTTTCAAAACTGCTGTATGGAACGGAAAGTTCAACTCTGTGAGTTGAATGCAAACTTCATAAAGAAGTTTCTGAGAATGCTTCTGTCTAGTTTTTATGTGAAGATATTCCCGTTTCCAATCAAAGCCTCAAAGCTATCAAAATAACCACTTGCAGATTCTACAAAAAGAGTGTTTCAAAAGTGCTGTATCAAAACAAAGGTTCAACTCTATGAGTTGACTACACACATCACAAAGAAGTTTCTGAGAATGCTTCTGTCTAGTTTTTAGGTGAGGATATTTCCTTTTTCACCCTAGGCCTCAAAGCGCTCCAAAGGTCCACTTCCAGATACTACAAAAAGAGTGTTTCAAAACTGCTGTATGAAAGGGAATGTTCAACTCTGTGAATTGAATGCAAGCATCACAAAGAAGTTTCTGAGAATGCTTCTTTCTGGTTTTTATGGGAAGATATTCCCGTTTCCAATGAAATCCTCAAAGCTATCCAAATATGCACTTGCAGACACTACAAAAAGAGGGTTTCAAATCTGATCTATGAGAAGAAAAGTTCAAATCTGTGAGTTGAGTACACACATAACCAAGAAGTTTCAGAGAATGCTTCTGTCTGGTTTTTATGTGAAGATATTTCCTTTTTCACCCTAGGCCTCAAAGTGCTCCAACTGTCCACTTCCAGATACTACAAAAAGAGTGTTTCAAAACTGCTCTAGGAAAAGAAATGTTCAATTCTGTGAGTTGAATGCAAGCATCACCAACAAGTTTCTGAGGATGCTTCTGTCTAGTGTTTATGTGAAGATACACTCGTTTCCAGGGAAGGCCTCAAAGCTGTCCAGATATCCACTTGCAAATTCTACAAAAAGAGGGCTTCCAATCTGCTCTATCAAAAGAAAGTTTCAACTCTGTGAGTTGAATGCACACATTACAAAGAACTTTCTGAGAATGCTTCTGTCTACTTTTATGTGAAGATATTCCGTTTCCGATGAATTCCTCACTGCTGTCCTTATATCCGCTTGCAAATTCTACAAGAAGAGTGTTTCCAAACTGCTGTATCAAAGGAAAGGTTTAACTCTGTGAGTTGAGTACACAAATCAGAAAGTCGTTTCTGAGAATGCTTCTGTCAACTTTTTATGGGAAGATATCCCTTTTTCACCCTAAGTCTCAAATCACTCCAAATGTCCACTTGCAGATTCTACAAAAAGAATGTCTCAAAACTGCTGTGTGAAAAGGAAGGTACAACTCTGTGAGTTGAATGCGAACTTCATAAAGAACTTTCTGAGAATGCTTCTGTCTAGTTCTTATGTGTAGATATTCCCGTTTCCAATGAAAGCCTCAAAGCTATCCAAATATCCACTTGAAGATTCTAACAAAAAGAGTGTTTCAAAACTGCTGCATCAAAACCACGTTTCAAATCCGTGAGTTGACTACACATATCACAAAGCAGTTTCTGAGAATGCTTCTGTCGAATTTTTAGGTGAAGATATTGCCTTTTTCACCATAGGCCTCGCATCGCTCCAAACGTCCACTTCCAGATACCACAAAAAGATTGTTTCAGAACTGCTCTATCAAAAGAGAGCTCCAACTCTGGGAGTTGAATGCACACATCACAACGAAGTTTCTGAGAATGCTTCTGTCTAGTTTTATGTGAAGATATTCCCGTTTCCAATGAAGGCCTCAAAGCAGGCTAAATACCCATTTGCAGATTCTACAAAAAGAGTGTTTCAAAACTTCTCTTTCAAAAGAAAAGTTCAACTCTGTGAGTTGAGTACACACATCACAAAGTAGTTACTGAGAATTCTTCTGTCTACTTTTTATGGGAAGATATTCCCTTTTCCACCATAGGCCTAGAAGCGCTCCAAGTTTCCACTTACAGATTCTAGAAAAAGAGAGTTTCAAAACTGCTGTATGGAACGGAAACTTCAACTCTGTGAGTTGAATGCAAACTTCATAAAGAAGTTTCTGAGAATGCTTCTGTCTAGTTTTTCTGTGAAGATATTCCCGTTTCCTATCAAAGCCTCAAAGCTATCCAAATAACCACTTGCAGATTCTACAAAAAGAGTGTTTCAAAAGTGCTGTATCAAAAGAAAGGTTCAACTCTGTGAGTTGACTACACACATCACAAAGAAGTTTCTGAGAATGCTTCTGTCTAGTTTTTAGGTGAGGATATTTCCTTTTTCACCCTAGGCCTCAAAGCGCTCCAAAGGTCCACTTCCAGATACTACAAAAAGAGTGTTTGAAAACTGCTGTATGAAAGGGAATGTTCAACTCAGTGAGTTGAATGCAAGCATCACAAAGAAGTTTATGAGAATGCTTCTTTCTAGTTTTTATGGGAAGATATTCCCGTTTCCAATGAAATCCTCAAAGCTATCCAAATATGCACTGCAGACTCTACAAAAA
>NC_000020.11:28646295-28648008 GCF_000001405.40 Homo sapiens
TACCTTTTCATTACTATCGGAGATTTTCCCCAAACACAGAGAAAGCTCTACAGAACTGAGCTTAAGCCAGAATTCTGTTGTTAACTTGGTCTAATGCCAAAACAGGCCAGAGACCCCTTTCACCTACTTCTCTTTAATCCCAAACCCATGTCTCTGTTTGATCTAAGAAAGAGCCAAATGCCCAGGATGCAGCATGGTAGAGAAAAGCAGCCAGCCAGAGAGTGGCCTCCGTGCCAGGGGAGTGTGTCTGAGCTTTGCTTTATTTTTCTTATTTGTCTGTAGTTGTGTGATTGGTAGAAGAGAGTGGATATGAAGTCTACTGACACAGGATTGGTCTTCAGGAATGTCTTACCAAGCATTTGGGGGAACAGAGGGGTTTCACAAATAAGAGAGCAATGATCAGACTTTTTCTAAAAGGAGCAGCCATAAGCTACCTTAACTCTCCAACTTGCCCATTAATCTTCACCTAGAGTTAGGAAGATTTCACCATTAGCTGTGGCCCATAAAAGATCCTTAAGCTTGACGAACCACAGAGGTCAATCTCCTTGAAGAGGAAGTGAAAGGGGTATTGACAGAAGCTGTGAGCTTTCTGTCCTCCGCAGGCCCCCAGCTGTGTCTTCTACAAGATAGTCTCCAAATGATGTTTTCTGGCTGACAATACCACAGAACTGATCCTTATCTCACTATGGAAATGAAAGATTTCAAAGAATTTTGTTGCCTGAAATATGGTACTGTAATCACGTATTAATAAAGCTGCTATCCAGAAATAATGCAGATTTCAAAAGAAAGGCTGTTAGCATTCTCAGGGACCTAAAAACTACAAATTGTAGAACAATGGTAAATAGATCTTGGAATCAGGTAGACTTTAATTCAAACCCCAGCTATGCCACTTATTAACTTATGTGACATTGGGAAAGCCTCTCAAATTTAGATTTGCAAAATCAGAATAAAATAAGTAGCCAACAAATAGGGTTTAATGGAGGTAATAATGAAGGTTATTAAGATGATAAAATTAAATAGTGAATATAAAGTGCTTAGCATTCAATAAATTTATTGTATGATTTCAAAGCACATGCTTTTACCTACAGTGCTATAAAGCTGCTTGCAATAGTCAAAGCTAATAGAAGCTCTTGTCAGAGCTAATAGAAGCCTTGAGTATGTAATTATTTAAGAATTCTGTAAATATACACAATAGGGTAGGAATGAGAAAATCTTTAGAGGAAATATTCAAGTACGTTTGATTTCTAGCAAATCCAGATAGATAGTTTTGGCAACAACCAAGTCATAATTTGAAGTCTTGTTATAGGAGCTAGAATTTTATTCAAGGGACAACTGACTTGATTAGATAAGATACTGTGCACTGCATGTTTGCATCAACAAATGCACATGTTGAAACTCTAACAATAGAATGGCATTAGAAGGAGGACCTTTGGGAAGTAATTTGGTTTTGATGAGGATGGAGTTCCCACAATGGGGTTAACATCCTAATAAGAAGAGTAGAAGACTAGAGCCCTCTTCACTCAGCCATCTGAAGATACAACAAGAACACCTGCAAACCAGTAAGAGGGCCTTCACCAGACACTGGCTCTGCTGGCCCAGATTTTAATCTTTGAATTCCCACAACTGTGAGAAACAAGTATGTGCTGTTTAAACCACGCAGTCTACAGTTGTTTGTAGAAGCAGCCTGAGCAGACAAAGACATAGGGTTCCTTT
>NC_000020.11:28648108-28650152 GCF_000001405.40 Homo sapiens
AACATTCTGAGAAACTTATTTGTGATGTGTGCATTCCTCTCACAGAGTTGAACATTTCTTTTGATTAAGCAGTTTTGAAACACCCTTTTGTGGAATCTGCTAGAGGATATTTGGAGCGCTTTGAGGCCTATGGAGGAAAAGGAAATATCTTCACTTAAAAACTAGACAGAAGCATTCTGAGAAACTTCTTTGTGATGTTTGCATTCATCTCACAGAGTTGAAATTTTCTTTTGATTGAGCAATTTTGAGACACTCTTTTTGTAGAATCTGCTTGTGGATAATAGGAGTGCTTTGGGGCATATTTTGGAAAAGGAAATACCTTCACATAAATAGTAGACAAAAGCATTCTGAGAAACTTCTTTGTGATGTGTGCATATATATCACAGAGTTGAACCTTTCTTTTCATTTAGCCTTTTGAAACACTCTTTTTGTAGAATCTGCAAGTGGATATTTGGAGCGCTTTGCGGCCTATGGTGGAAAATAAATATCTTCACATAAAAACTAGACAGAAGCAATCTGAGAAACTACTTTGTGATGTGTGCATTCATCTCACAGAGGTGAACCTTTCTTTTGATTGAGCAGTTTTGAAACACTCTTTTTGTTGTATATGCAAGTGGATATTTGGAGCGATTTGTGGTCTATGGTGGAAAAGGAAATATCTTCACGTAAAAACTAGACAGAAGCACTCTGAGAAACTTCTTTGTGATGTGTGCATTCATCTCACCAAGCGGAACCATTCTTTTGATGGAGCTGTTTTGAAATACTCTTTTTGTAGAATCTGCAAGTGAATATTTGGAGTGCTTTCAGGCCTGTGGTGGAAAAGGAAGTATCTTCACATAAAAACTAGACAGAAGCATTCGGAGAAACTTCTTTTTAGTGTGTGCATTCATCTCACAGTGTTGAAACTTTCTTTTGATTGAGGGTTTTGAAACAGTCTTTTTGATAAATCTGCAAGTGGATATTTGGAGCGAATTGTGGCCTATGGTTTAAAAGGAAATATCTTCACATAAAAGCTAGACAGAAGCTTTCTGAGAAACTTCTTTGTGATATGTGCGTTCATCTCACCGGGTTGAATCTTTCCTTTCATCGAGCAATATTGAAACACCCTTTTCTTTGAATCTGAAATAGATATTTGGAGCGATTGTGTCCTATGGTAGTAAAGGCAATATTTTCACAGAAAAACTAGACAGAAGCATTCTGCAAAACTTCCTCGTGATGTGTTCATTTATCTCACCAAATTGAACCATTCTTTTCCTTGAGCAGATTTGATACACTCTTTTTGTAGAATGTGCAAGTGAATATTTGGAACGCTTTGATGAGTTTGACGGAAAAGGAAATACCTTCACATATAAACGAGACAGAAGCATTCTGAGAAACTTCTTTCTGATATGTGCATTCAACTCACTGAGTTGAACCTTTCTTTTGATTCAGCAGTTTTGAAACACGCTTTTTGAAGAATCTGTAAGTGGCTATTTGGAGTGCTTAGGGGCCGATGGTGGAATGGAAATATCTCCACATAAAAAACTTGACAGAAGCATTCTGAGAAACTTCTTTGTGATGTGTGCATTCATCAGAGAGAGTTTAACATTTCTTTTGACTGAGCAGTTTTGAAACTCTCTTTTTGTAGAATCTGCAAGTGGACATTTGGAGCCACTTGAGGCCTATTGTGGAAAAGGGAATAAATGCACATAAAAGCTACACGGAAGCATTCTGACAAACTTCTTTGTGATGTGCACATTCATCTCACAGATTGAAAATTTCTTTTGATTGAGCAGTTTTGAAATGCTCTTTTCGGAGAATCAGCCAGTGGATATTTGGAGCACTTTGAGGACTATGGTGGAAAAGGAAATATCTTCACATAAAAACTAGAGGAAGCATTCTGAGAAACTTCTTTGTGATGTTTGCATTCATCTCACAGAGTTGAAATTTTCTTTTGATTGAGCAATTTTGAGACACTCTTTTTGTAGAATCTGCCTGTGGATAATAGGAGTACTTTGGGGCATATTTTGGAAAAGGAAATACCTTCACATAAATAGTAGACAAA
>NC_000020.11:28650252-28652360 GCF_000001405.40 Homo sapiens
GTTCTTGCGATAGTTTACTGAGAATGATGACTTCCAATTTCATCCATGTCCCTAAAAAGGTTATGAACTCATCACTTTTTATGGCTTCATAGTATTCCATGGTGTATATAGACTGGATTAAGAAGATTGAGCAGTTTTTAAAGCATCTTTTTGTAGTATCTGCAAGGGGATATTTGGAGCGTTTTGGGGCCTATTGTGGAAAAGGAACTATCTTCACATAAAAACTAGACAGAAGAGCATTCTGAGAAACTTTTGGTGATCTGTGCATTCAACTCACAGATTTCAGCCTTTCTTTTGATTGAACAGTTTTGAAACACTCTTTTTGTAGTATCTGTAAATGGATATTTGAAGCGGTTTGAGGTCTATCTTGGCAAAGGAAATATCTTCACATATAAACTAGACAGAAGCATTCTGAGAAACTTCTCTGTGATAAGTGCCTTCATCTCACAGAGTTGAACCTTTCTTTTGATTGAGCAGTTTTGAAACACTATTTTTGTTGTATATGCAAGTGGGTATTTGGAGCGATTTGTGGTCTATGGTTGAAAAGGAAATATCTTCACATAAAAACTAGACGGAAACACTCTGAGAAACTTCTTTGTGATGTGTGCATTCATCTCACCAAGCTTAACCATTCTTTTGATGGAGCTGTTTTGAAATACTCTTTTTGTAGAATCTGCAAGTGGATATTTGGAGTGCTTTCAGGCCTGTGGTGGAAAAGGAAATATCTTCACATAAAAACTAGACAGAAGCATTCGGAGAAACTTCTTTTTAGTGTGTGCATTCATCTCACAGTGTTGAAACTTTCTTTTGATTGAGGGTTTTGAAACAGTCTTTTTGATAAATCTGCAAGTGGATATTTGGAGCGAATTGTGGCCTATGGTTTAAAAGGAAATATCTTCACATAAAAGCTAGACAGAAGCTTTCTGAGAAACTTCTTTGTGATATGTGCGTTCATCTCACCGGGTTGAATCTTTCCTTTCATCGAGCAATATTGAAACACCCTTTTCTTTGAATCTGAAATAGATATTTGGAGCGATTGTGTCCTATGGTAGTAAAGGCAATATTTTCACAGAAAAACTAGACAGAAGCATTCTGCAAAACTTCCTCGTGATGTGTTCATTTATCTCACCAAATTGAACCATTCTTTTCCTTGAGCAGATTTGATACACTCTTTTTGTAGAATGTGCAAGTGAATATTTGGAACGCTTTGATGAGTTTGACGGAAAAGGAAATACCTTCACATATAAACGAGACAGAAGCATTCTGAGAAACTTCTTTCTGATATGTGCATTCAACTCACAGAGTTGAACCTTTCTTTTGATTCAGCAGTTTTGAAACACACTTTTTGAAGGATCTGTAAGTGGATATTTGGAGTGCTTAGGGGTCGATGCTAGAAAGGAAATATCTCCACATAAAAACTTGATGGAAGCATTCTGAGAAACTTCTTTGTGATGTGTGCATTCATCAGAGAGAGTTTAACATTTCTTTTGACTGAGCAGTTTTGAAACTCTCTTTTTGTAGAATCTGCAAGTGGACATTTGGAGCCACTTGAGGCCTATTGTGGAAAAGGGAATAAATGCACATAAAAGCTACACGGAAGCATTCTGACAAACTTCTTTGTGATGTGCACATTCATCTCACAGATTGAAAATTTCTTTTGATTGAGCAGTTTTGAAATGCTCTTTTCGGAGAATCAGCCAGTGGATATTTGGAGCACTTTGAGGACTATGGTGGAAAAGGAAATATCTTCACATAAAAACTAGAGGAAACATTCTGAGAAACTTATTTGTGATGTGTGCATTCCTCTCACAGAGTTGAACATTTCTTTTGATTAAGCAGTTTTGAAACACTCTTTTGTGGAATCTGCTAGAGGATATTTGGAGCGCTTTGAGGCCTATGGAGGAAAAGGAAATATCTTCACTTAAAAACTAGACAGAAGCATTCTGAGAAACTTCTTTGTGATGTTTGCATTCATCTCACAGGGTTGAAATTTTCTTTTGATTGAGAAGTTTTGAGACACTCTTTTTGTAGAATCTGCCTGTGGATAATAGGAGCGCTTTGGGGCATATTTTGGAAAAGGAAATACCTTCACATAAATAGTAGACAGA
>NC_000020.11:28652460-28654456 GCF_000001405.40 Homo sapiens
TCTGTCTAGTTTTTATGTGAAGATAGTTCCTTTTCCACAATAGGCCCCAAAACGCTCCAAATATCCCCTTGCAAACACTACAAAAGATTTTTTAAAAACTGCTAAATCTTCTTAATCCAGTCTATATGCACCATGGAATACTATGCAGCCATAAAAAATGATGAGTTCATATCCTTTTTAGGGACATGGATGAAATTGGAAGTCATCATTCTCAGTAAACTATCGCAAAACAAAAAACCAAACACCGCATATTCTCACTCATAGGTGGGAATTGAAAATGAGATCACATGGAAGCATTCTGAGAAACTTCTCTTGTGATGTGTGCACTCATCTCACAGAGTTGAACCTTTCTTTTGATCGAGTAGTTTTGAAACACTCTTTTTGTACCATCTGCAAGTGTATATTTGGAGCGTTTTGCCTCCTATGGTGGAAAAGGAAATATCTTCACATAAAAACTAGACAGAAACACTCTGAGAAACTTCTTTGTGATGTGTGCATTCATCTCACCAAGATGAACCATTCTTTTGATGGAGCTGTTTTGAAATACTCTTTTTGTAGAATCTGCAAGTGGATATTTGGAGTGCTTTCAGGCCTGTGGTGGAAAAGGAAATATCTTCACATAAAAACTAGACAGAAGCATTCGGAGAAACTTCTTTTTAGTGTGTGCATTCATCTCACAGTGTTGAAACTTTCTTTTGATTGAGGGTTTTGAAACAGTCTTTTTGATAAATCTGCAAGTGGATATTTGGAGCGAATTGTGGCCTATGGTTTAAAAGGAAATATCTTCACATAAAAGCTAGACAGAAGCTTTCTGAGAAACTTCTTTGTGATACGTGCGTTCATCTCACCGGGTTGAATCTTTCCTTTCATCGAGCAATATTGAAACACCCTTTTCTTTGAATCTGAAATAGATATTTGGAGCGATTGTGTCCTATGGTAGTAAAGGCAATATTTTCACAGAAAAACTAGACAGAAGCATTCTGCAAAACTTCCTCGTGATGTGTTCATTTATCTCACCAAATTGAACCATTCTTTTCCTTGAGCAGATTTGATACACTCTTTTTGTAGAATGTGCAAGTGAATATTTGGAACGCTTTGATGAGTTTGACGGAAAAGGAAATACCTTCACATATAAACGAGACAGAAGCATTCTGAGAAACTTCTTTCTGATATGTGCATTCAACTCACAGAGTTGAACCTTTCTTTTGATTCAGCAGTTTTGAAACACACTTTTTGAAGGATCTGTAAGTGGATATTTGGAGTGCTTAGGGGTCGATGCTAGAAAGGAAATATCTCCACATAAAAACTTGATGGAAGCATTCTGAGAAACTTCTTTGTGATGTGTGCATTCATCAGAGAGAGTTTAACATTTCTTTTGACTGAGCAGTTTTGAAACTCTCTTTTTGTAGAATCTGCAAGTGGACATTTGGAGCCACTTGAGGCCTATTGTGGAAAAGGGAATAAATTCACATAAAAGCTACACGGAAGCATTCTGACAAACTTCTTTGTGATGTGCACATTCATCTCACAGATTGAAAATTTCTTTTGATTGAGCAGTTTTGAAATGCTCTTTTCGGAGAATCAGCCAGTGGATATTTGGAGCACTTTGAGGACTATGGTGGAAAAGGAAATATCTTCACATAAAAACTAGAGGAAACATTCTGAGAAACTTATTTGTGATGTGTGCATTCCTCTCACAGAGTTGAACATTTCTTTTGATTAAGCAGTTTTGAAACACTCTTTTGTGGAATCTGCTAGAGGATATTTGGAGCGCTTTGAGGCCTATGGAGGAAAAGGAAATATCTTCACTTAAAAACTAGACAGAAGCATTCTGAGAAACTTCTTTGTGATGTTTGCATTCATCTCACAGGGTTGAAATTTTCTTTTGATTGAGAAGTTTTGAGACACTCTTTTTGTAGAATCTGCCTGTGGATAATAGGAGCGCTTTGGGGCATATTTTGGAAAAGGAAATACCTTCACATAAATAGTAGACAGA
>NC_000020.11:28654556-28681099 GCF_000001405.40 Homo sapiens
TCTGTCTAGTTTTTATGTGAAGATAGTTCCTTTTCCACAATAGGCCCCAAAACGCTCCAAATATCCCCTTGCAGGCACTACAAAAAGATTTTTTAAAAACTGCTAAATCTTCTTAATCCAGTCTATATACACCATGGAATACTATGCAGCCATAAAAAATGATGAGTTCATATCCTTTTTAGGGACATGGATGAAAGCATTCTGAGAAACTTCTCTGTGATGTGTGCACTCATCTCACAGAGTTGAACCTTTCTTTTGATCGAGTAGTTTTGAAACACTCTTTTTGTACCATCTGCAAGTGTATATTTGGAGCTTTTTGCCTCCTATGGTGGAAAAGGAAATATCTTCACATAAAAACTAGACAGAAGCACTCTGAGAAACTTCTTTGTGATGTGTGCATTCATCTCACCAAGCGGAACCATTCTTTTGATGGAGCTGTTTTGAAATACTCTTTTTGTAGAATCTGCAAGTGAATATTTGGAGTGCTTTCAGGCCTGTGGTGGAAAAGGAAATATCTTCACATAAAAACTAGACAGAAGCATTCGGAGAAACTTCTTTTTAGTGTGTGCATTCATCTCACAGTGTTGAAACTTTCTTTTGATTGAGGGTTTTGAAACAGTCTTTTTGATAAATCTGCAAGTGGATATTTGGAGCGAATTGTGGCCTATGGTTTAAAAGGAAATATCTTCACATAAAAGCTAGACAGAAGCTTTCTGAGAAACTTCTTTGTGATATGTGCGTTCATCTCACCGGGTTGAATCTTTCCTTTCATCGAGCAATATTGAAACACCCTTTTCTTTGAATCTGAAATAGATATTTGGAGCGATTGTGTCCTATGGTAGTAAAGGCAATATTTTCACAGAAAAACTAGACAGAAGCATTCTGCAAAACTTCCTCGTGATGTGTTCATTTATCTCACCAAATTGAACCATTCTTTTCCTTGAGCAGATTTGATACACTCTTTTTGTAGAATGTGCAAGTGAATATTTGGAACGCTTTGATGAGTTTGACGGAAAAGGAAATACCTTCACATATAAACGAGACAGAAGCATTCTGAGAAACTTCTTTCTGATATGTGCATTCAACTCACAGAGTTGAACCTTTCTTTTGATTCAGCAGTTTTGAAACACACTTTTTGAAGGATCTGTAAGTGGATATTTGGAGTGCTTAGGGGTCGATGCTAGAAAGGAAATATCTCCACATAAAAACTTGATGGAAGCATTCTGAGAAACTTCTTTGTGATGTGTGCATTCATCAGAGAGAGTTTAACATTTCTTTTGACTGAGCAGTTTTGAAACTCTCTTTTTGTAGAATCTGCAAGTGGACATTTGGAGCCACTTGAGGCCTATTGTGGAAAAGGGAATAAATGCACATAAAAGCTACACGGAAGCATTCTGACAAACTTCTTTGTGATGTGCACATTCATCTCACAGATTGAAAATTTCTTTTGATTGAGCAGTTTTGAAATGCTCTTTTCGGAGAATCAGCCAGTGGATATTTGGAGCACTTTGAGGACTATGGTGGAAAAGGAAATATCTTCACATAAAAACTAGAGGAAACATTCTGAGAAACTTATTTGTGATGTGTGCATTCCTCTCACAGAGTTGAACATTTCTTTTGATTAAGCAGTTTTGAAACACTCTTTTGTGGAATCTGCTAGAGGATATTTGGAGCGCTTTGAGGCCTATGGAGGAAAAGGAAATATCTTCACTTAAAAACTAGACAGAAGCATTCTGAGAAACTTCTTTGTGATGTTTGCATTCATCTCACAGGGTTGAAATTTTCTTTTGATTGAGAAGTTTTGAGACACTCTTTTTGTAGAATCTGCCTGTGGATAATAGGAGCGCTTTGGGGCATATTTTGGAAAAGGAAATACCTTCACATAAATAGTAGACAGAAGCATTCTGAGAAATTTTTGGCAATCTGTGCATTCAACTCACAGATTTGAACCTTTCTTTTGATTGAACAGTTTTGAAACACTCTTTTTGTAGTATCTGTAAATGGATATTTGAAGCGGTTTGAGGTCTATCGTGGAAAAGGAAATATCTTCACATATAAACTAGACAGAAGCATTCTGAGAAACTTCTCTGTGATAAGTGCCTTCATCTCACAGAGTTGAACCTTTCTTTTGATTGAGCAGTTTTGAAACACTCTTTTTGTTGTATATGCAAGTGGGTTTTTGGAGCGATTTGTGGTCTCTGGTGGAAAAGGAAATATCTTCACATAAAAACTAGACAGAAGCACTCTGAGAAACTTCTTTGTGATGTGTGCATTCATCTCACCAAGCGGAACCATTCTTTTGATGGAGCTGTTTTGAAATACTCTTTTTGTAGAATCTGCAAGTGAATATTTGGAGTGCTTTCAGGCCTGTGGTGGAAAAGGAAATATCTTCACATAAAAACTAGACAGAAGCATTCGGAGAAACTTCTTTTTAGTGTGTGCATTCATCTCACAGTGTTGAAACTTTCTTTTGATTGAGGGTTTTGAAACAGTCTTTTTGATAAATCTGCAAGTGGATATTTGGAGCGAATTGTGGCCTATGGTTTAAAAGGAAATATCTTCACATAAAAGCTAGACAGAAGCTTTCTGAGAAACTTCTTTGTGATATGTGCGTTCATCTCACCGGGTTGAATCTTTCCTTTCATCGAGCAATATTGAAACACCCTTTTTTTTGAATCTGAAATAGATATTTGGAGCGATTGTGTCCTATGGTAGTAAAGGCAATATTTTCACAGAAAAACTAGACAGAAGCATTCTGCAAAACTTCCTCGTGATGTGTTCATTTATCTCACCAAATTGAACCATTCTTTTCCTTGAGCAGATTTGATACACTCTTTTTGTAGAATGTGCAAGTGAATATTTGGAACGCTTTGATGAGTTTGACGGAAAAGGAAATACCTTCACATATAAACGAGACAGAAGCATTCTGAGAAACTTCTTTCTGATATGTGCATTCAACTCACAGAGTTGAACCTTTCTTTTGATTCAGCAGTTTTGAAACACACTTTTTGAAGGATCTGTAAGTGGATATTTGGAGTGCTTAGGGGTCGATGCTAGAAAGGAAATATCTCCACATAAAAACTTGATGGAAGCATTCTGAGAAACTTCTTTGTGATGTGTGCATTCATCAGAGAGAGTTTAACATTTCTTTTGACTGAGCAGTTTTGAAACTCTCTTTTTGTAGAATCTGCAAGTGGACATTTGGAGCCACTTGAGGCCTATTGTGGAAAAGGGAATAAATGCACATAAAAGCTACACGGAAGCATTCTGACAAACTTCTTTGTGATGTGCACATTCATCTCACAGATTGAAAATTTCTTTTGATTGAGCAGTTTTGAAATGCTCTTTTCGGAGAATCAGCCAGTGGATATTTGGAGCACTTTGAGGACTATGGTGGAAAAGGAAATATCTTCACATAAAAACTAGAGGAAACATTCTGAGAAACTTATTTGTGATGTGTGCATTCCTCTCACAGAGTTGAACATTTCTTTTGATTAAGCAGTTTTGAAACACTCTTTTGTGGAATCTGCTAGAGGATATTTGGAGCGCTTTGAGGCCTATGGAGGAAAAGGAAATATCTTCACTTAAAAACTAGACAGAAGCATTCTGAGAAACTTCTTTGTGATGTTTGCATTCATCTCACAGGGTTGAAATTTTCTTTTGATTGAGAAGTTTTGAGACACTCTTTTTGTAGAATCTGCCTGTGGATAATAGGAGCGCTTTGGGGCATATTTTGGAAAAGGAAATACCTTCACATAAATAGTAGACAGAAGCATTCTGAGAAACTTCTTTGTGACGTGTGCATATATATCACAGAGTTGAACCTTTCTTTTCATTTAGCCTTTTGAAACACTCTTTTTCTAGAATCTGCAAGTGAATATTTGGAGCGCTTTGCGGCCTATGGTGGAAAATAAATATCTTCACATAAAAACTAGACAGAAGCAATCTGAGAAACTACTTTGTGATGTGTGCATTCATCTCACAGAGTTGAACCTTTCTTTTGATTGAGCAGTTTTGAAACACTCTTTTTGTTGTATATGCAAGTGGATATTTGGAGCGATTTGTGGTCTATGGTGGAAAAGGAAATATCTTCACGTAAAAACTAGACAGAAGCACTCTGAGAAACTTCTTTGTGATGTGTGCATTCATCTCACCAAGCGGAACCATTCTTTTGATGGAGCTGTTTTGAAATACTCTTTTTGTAGAATCTGCAAGTGAATATTTGGAGTGCTTTCAGGCCTGTGGTGGAAAAGGAAATATCTTCACATAAAAACTAGACAGAAGCATTCGGAGAAACTTCTTTTTAGTGTGTGCATTCATCTCACAGTGTTGAAACTTTCTTTTGATTGAGGGTTTTGAAACAGTCTTTTTGATAAATCTGCAAGTGGATATTTGGAGCGAATTGTGGCCTATGGTTTAAAAGGAAATATCTTCACATAAAAGCTAGACAGAAGCTTTCTGAGAAACTTCTTTGTGATATGTGCGTTCATCTCACCGGGTTGAATCTTTCCTTTCATCGAGCAATATTGAAACACCCTTTTCTTTGAATCTGAAATAGATATTTGGAGCGATTGTGTCCTATGGTAGTAAAGGCAATATTTTCACAGAAAAACTAGACAGAAGCATTCTGCAAAACTTCCTCGTGATGTGTTCATTTATCTCACCAAATTGAACCATTCTTTTCCTTGAGCAGATTTGATACACTCTTTTTGTAGAATGTGCAAGTGAATATTTGGAACGCTTTGATGAGTTTGACGGAAAAGGAAATACCTTCACATATAAACGAGACAGAAGCATTCTGAGAAACTTCTTTCTGATATGTGCATTCAACTCACAGAGTTGAACCTTTCTTTTGATTCAGCAGTTTTGAAACACACTTTTTGAAGGATCTGTAAGTGGATATTTGGAGTGCTTAGGGGTCGATGCTAGAAAGGAAATATCTCCACATAAAAACTTGATGGAAGCATTCTGAGAAACTTCTTTGTGATGTGTGCATTCATCAGAGAGAGTTTAACATTTCTTTTGACTGAGCAGTTTTGAAACTCTCTTTTTGTAGAATCTGCAAGTGGACATTTGGAGCCACTTGAGGCCTATTGTGGAAAAGGGAATAAATGCACATAAAAGCTACACGGAAGCATTCTGACAAACTTCTTTGTGATGTGCACATTCATCTCACAGATTGAAAATTTCTTTTGATTGAGCAGTTTTGAAATGCTCTTTTCGGAGAATCAGCCAGTGGATATTTGGAGCACTTTGAGGACTATGGTGGAAAAGGAAATATCTTCACATAAAAACTAGAGGAAACATTCTGAGAAACTTATTTGTGATGTGTGCATTCCTCTCACAGAGTTGAACATTTCTTTTGATTAAGCAGTTTTGAAACACCCTTTTGTGGAATCTGCTAGAGGATATTTGGAGCGCTTTGAGGCCTATGGAGGAAAAGGAAATATCTTCACTTAAAAACTAGACAGAAGCATTCTGAGAAACTTCTTTGTGATGTTTGCATTCATCTCACAGGGTTGAAATTTTCTTTCGATTGAGAAGTTTTGAGACACTCTTTTTGTAGAATCTGCCTGTGGATAATAGGAGCGCTTTGGGGCATATTTTGGAAAAGGAAATACCTTCACATAAATAGTAGACAGAAGCATTCTGAGAAACTTCTTTGTGACGTGTGCATATATATCACAGAGTTGAACCTTTCTTTTCATTTAGCCTTTTGAAACACTCTTTTTCTAGAATCTGCAAGTGAATATTTGGAGCGCTTTGCGGCCTATGGTGGAAAATAAATATCTTCACATAAAAACTAGACAGAAGCAATCTGAGAAACTACTTTGTGATGTGTGCATTCATCTCACAGAGTTGAACCTTTCTTTTGATTGAGCAGTTTTGAAACACTCTTTTTGTTGTATATGCAAGTGGATATTTGGAGCGATTTGTGGTCTATGGTGGAAAAGGAAATATCTTCACGTAAAAACTAGACAGAAGCACTCTGAGAAACTTCTTTGTGATGTGTGCATTCATCTCACCAAGCGGAACCATTCTTTTGATGGAGCTGTTTTGAAATACTCTTTTTGTAGAATCTGCAAGTGAATATTTGGAGTGCTTTCAGGCCTGTGGTGGAAAAGGGAATATCTTCACATAAAAACTAGACAGAAGCATTCGGAGAAACTTCTTTTTAGTGTGTGCATTCATCTCACAGTGTTGAAACTTTCTTTTGATTGAGGGTTTTGAAACAGTCTTTTTGATAAATCTGCAAGTGGATATTTGGAGCGAATTGTGGCCTATGGTTTAAAAGGAAATATCTTCACATAAAAGCTAGACAGAAGCTTTCTGAGAAACTTCTTTGTGATATGTGCGTTCATCTCACCGGGTTGAATCTTTCCTTTCATCGAGCAATATTGAAACACCCTTTTTTTTGAATCTGAAATAGATATTTGGAGCGATTGTGTCCTATGGTAGTAAAGGCAATATTTTCACAGAAAAACTAGACAGAAGCATTCTGCAAAACTTCCTCGTGATGTGTTCATTTATCTCACCAAATTGAACCATTCTTTTCCTTGAGCAGATTTGATACACTCTTTTTGTAGAATGTGCAAGTGAATATTTGGAACGCTTTGATGAGTTTGACGGAAAAGGAAATACCTTCACATATAAACGAGACAGAAGCATTCTGAGAAACTTCTTTCTGATATGTGCATTCAACTCACAGAGTTGAACCTTTCTTTTGATTCAGCAGTTTTGAAACACACTTTTTGAAGGATCTGTAAGTGGATATTTGGAGTGCTTAGGGGTCGATGCTAGAAAGGAAATATCTCCACATAAAAACTTGATGGAAGCATTCTGAGAAACTTCTTTGTGATGTGTGCATTCATCAGAGAGAGTTTAACATTTCTTTTGACTGAGCAGTTTTGAAACTCTCTTTTTGTAGAATCTGCAAGTGGACATTTGGAGCCACTTGAGGCCTATTGTGGAAAAGGGAATAAATGCACATAAAAGCTACACGGAAGCATTCTGACAAACTTCTTTGTGATGTGCACATTCATCTCACAGATTGAAAATTTCTTTTGATTGAGCAGTTTTGAAATGCTCTTTTCGGAGAATCAGCCAGTGGATATTTGGAGCACTTTGAGGACTATGGTGGAAAAGGAAATATCTTCACATAAAAACTAGAGGAAACATTCTGAGAAACTTATTTGTGATGTGTGCATTCCTCTCACAGAGTTGAACATTTCTTTTGATTAAGCAGTTTTGAAACACTCTTTTGTGGAATCTGCTAGAGGATATTTGGAGCGCTTTGAGGCCTATGGAGGAAAAGGAAATATCTTCACTTAAAAACTAGACAGAAGCATTCTGAGAAACTTCTTTGTGATGTTTGCATTCATCTCACAGGGTTGAAATTTTCTTTTGATTGAGAAGTTTTGAGACACTCTTTTTGTAGAATCTGCCTGTGGATAATAGGAGCGCTGTGGGGCATATTTTGGAAAAGGAAATACCTTCACATAAATAGTAGACAGAAGCATTCTGAGAAACTTCTTTGTGACGTGTGCATATATATCACAGAGTTGAACCTTTCTTTTCATTTACCCTTTTGAAACACTCTTTTTCTAGAATCTGCAAGTGAATATTTGGAGCGCTTTGCGGCCTATGGTGGAAAATAAATATCTTCACATAAAAACTAGACAGAAGCAATCTGAGAAACTACTTTGTGATGTGTGCATTCATCTCACAGAGGTGAACCTTTCTTTTGATTGAGCAGTTTTGAAACACTCTTTTTGTTGTATATGCAAGTGGATATTTGGAGCGATTTGTGGTCTATGGTGGAAAAGGAAATATCTTCACGTAAAAACTAGACAGAAGCACTCTGAGAAACTTCTTTGTGATGTGTGCATTCATCTCACCAAGCGGAACCATTCTTTTGATGGAGCTGTTTTGAAATACTCTTTTTGTAGAATCTGCAAGTGAATATTTGGAGTGCTTTCAGGCCTGTGGTGGAAAAGGAAATATCTTCACATAAAAACTAGACAGAAGCATTCGGAGAAACTTCTTTTTAGTGTGTGCATTCATCTCACAGTGTTGAAACTTTCTTTTGATTGAGGGTTTTGAAACAGTCTTTTTGATAAATCTGCAAGTGGATATTTGGAGCGAATTGTGGCCTATGGTTTAAAAGGAAATATCTTCACATAAAAGCTAGACAGAAGCTTTCTGAGAAACTTCTTTGTGATATGTGCGTTCATCTCACCGGGTTGAATCTTTCCTTTCATCGAGCAATATTGAAACACCCTTTTCTTTGAATCTGAAATAGATATTTGGAGCGATTGTGTCCTATGGTAGTAAAGGCAATATTTTCACAGAAAAACTAGACAGAAGCATTCTGCAAAACTTCCTCGTGATGTGTTCATTTATCTCACCAAATTGAACCATTCTTTTCCTTGAGCAGATTTGATACACTCTTTTTGTAGAATGTGCAAGTGAATATTTGGAACGCTTTGATGAGTTTGACGGAAAAGGAAATACCTTCACATATAAACGAGACAGAAGCATTCTGAGAAACTTTTCTCTGATATGTGCATTCAACTCACAGAGTTGAACCTTTCTTTTGATTCAGCAGTTTTGAAACACGCTTTTTGAAGAATCTATAAGTGGATATTTGGAGTGCTTAGGGGCCGATGGCGGAAAAGGAAATATCTCCACATAAAAACTAGATGGAAGCATTCTGAGAAACTTCTTTGTGATGTGTGCATTCATCAGAGAGAGTTTAACATTTCTTTTGACTGAGCAGTTTTGAAACTCTCTTTTTGTAGAATCTGCAAGTGGACATTTGGAGCCACTTGAGGCCTATTGTGGAAAAGGGAATAAATGCACATAAAAGCTACACGGAAGCATTCTGACAAACTTCTTTGTGATGTGCACATTCATCTCACAGATTGAAAATTTCTTTTGATTGAGCAGTTTTGAAATGCTCTTTTCGGAGAATCAGCCAGTGGATATTTGGAGCACTTTGAGGACTATGGTGGAAAAGGAAATATCTTCACATAAAAACTAGAGGAAACATTCTGAGAAACTTATTTGTGATGTGTGCATTCCTCTCACAGAGTTGAACATTTCTTTTGATTAAGCAGTTTTGAAACACTCTTTTGTGGAATCTGCTAGAGGATATTTGGAGCGCTTTGAGGCCTATGGAGGAAAAGGAAATATCTTCACTTAAAAACTAGACAGAAGCATTCTGAGAAACTTCTTTGTGATGTTTGCATTCATCTCACAGGGTTGAAATTTTCTTTTGATTGAGAAGTTTTGAGACACTCTTTTTGTAGAATCTGCCTGTGGATAATAGGAGCGCTTTGGGGCATATTTTGGAAAAGGAAATACCTTCACATAAATAGTAGACAGAAGCATTCTGAGAAACTTCTTTGTGACGTGTGCATATATATCACAGAGTTGAACCTTTCTTTTCATTTAGCCTTTTGAAACACTCTTTTTCTAGAATCTGCAAGTGAATATTTGGAGCGCTTTGCGGCCTATGGTGGAAAATAAATATCTTCACATAAAAACTAGACAGAAGCAATCTGAAAAACTACTTTGTGATGTGTGCATTCATCTCACAGAGGTGAACCTTTCTTTTGATTGAGCAGTTTTGAAACACTCTTTTTGTTGTATATGCAAGTGGATATTTGGAGCGATTTGTGGTCTATGGTGGAAAAGGAAATATCTTCACGTAAAAACTAGACAGAAGCACTCTGAGAAACTTCTTTGTGATGTGTGCATTCATCTCACCAAGCGGAACCATTCTTTTGATGGAGCTGTTTTGAAATACTCTTTTTGTAGAATCTGCAAGTGAATATTTGGAGTGCTTTCAGGCCTGTGGTGGAAAAGGAAATATCTTCACATAAAAACTAGACAGAAGCATTCGGAGAAACTTCTTTTTAGTGTGTGCATTCATCTCACAGTGTTGAAACTTTCTTTTGATTGAGGGTTTTGAAACAGTCTTTTTGATAAATCTGCAAGTGGATATTTGGAGCGAATTGTGGCCTATGGTTTAAAAGGAAATATCTTCACATAAAAGCTAGACAGAAGCTTTCTGAGAAACTTCTTTGTGATATGTGCGTTCATCTCACCGGGTTGAATCTTTCCTTTCATCGAGCAATATTGAAACACCCTTTTTTTTGAATCTGAAATAGATATTTGGAGCGATTGTGTCCTATGGTAGTAAAGGCAATATTTTCACAGAAAAACTAGACAGAAGCATTCTGCAAAACTTCCTCGTGATGTGTTCATTTATCTCACCAAATTGAACCATTCTTTTCCTTGAGCAGATTTGATACACTCTTTTTGTAGAATGTGCAAGTGAATATTTGGAACGCTTTGATGAGTTTGACGGAAAAGGAAATACCTTCACATATAAACGAGACAGAAGCATTCTGAGAAACTTCTTTCTGATATGTGCATTCAACTCACAGAGTTGAACCTTTCTTTTGATTCAGCAGTTTTGAAACACACTTTTTGAAGGATCTGTAAGTGGATATTTGGAGTGCTTAGGGGTCGATGCTAGAAAGGAAATATCTCCACATAAAAACTTGATGGAAGCATTCTGAGAAACTTCTTTGTGATGTGTGCATTCATCAGAGAGAGTTTAACATTTCTTTTGACTGAGCAGTTTTGAAACTCTCTTTTTGTAGAATCTGCAAGTGGACATTTGGAGCCACTTGAGGCCTATTGTGGAAAAGGGAATAAATGCACATAAAAGCTACACGGAAGCATTCTGACAAACTTCTTTGTGATGTGCACATTCATCTCACAGATTGAAAATTTCTTTTGATTGAGCAGTTTTGAAATGCTCTTTTCGGAGAATCAGCCAGTGGATATTTGGAGCACTTTGAGGACTATGGTGGAAAAGGAAATATCTTCACATAAAAACTAGAGGAAACATTCTGAGAAACTTATTTGTGATGTGTGCATTCCTCTCACAGAGTTGAACATTTCTTTTGATTAAGCAGTTTTGAAACACTCTTTTGTGGAATCTGCTAGAGGATATTTGGAGCGCTTTGAGGCCTATGGAGGAAAAGGAAATATCTTCACTTAAAAACTAGACAGAAGCATTCTGAGAAACTTCTTTGTGATGTTTGCATTCATCTCACAGGGTTGAAATTTTCTTTTGATTGAGAAGTTTTGAGACACTCTTTTTGTAGAATCTGCCTGTGGATAATAGGAGCGCTTTGGGGCATATTTTGGAAAAGGAAATACCTTCACATAAATAGTAGACAGAAGCATTCTGAGAAAGTTCTTTGTGACGTGTGCATATATATCACAGAGTTGAACCTTTCTTTTCATTTAGCCTTTTGAAACACTCTTTTTCTAGAATCTGCAAGTGAATATTTGGAGCGCTTTGCGGCCTATGGTGGAAAATAAATATCTTCACATAAAAACTAGACAGAAGCAATCTGAGAAACTACTTTGTGATGTGTGCATTCATCTCACAGAGTTGAACCTTTCTTTTGATTGAGCAGTTTTGAAACACTCTTTTTGTTGTATATGCAAGTGGATATTTGGAGCGATTTGTGGTCTATGGTGGAAAAGGAAATATCTTCACGTAAAAACTAGACAGAAGCACTCTGAGAAACTTCTTTGTGATGTGTGCATTCATCTCACCAAGCGGAACCATTCTTTTGATGGAGCTGTTTTGAAATACTCTTTTTGTAGAATCTGCAAGTGAATATTTGGAGTGCTTTCAGGCCTGTGGTGGAAAAGGAAATATCTTCACATAAAAACTAGACAGAAGCATTCGGAGAAACTTCTTTTTAGTGTGTGCATTCATCTCACAGTGTTGAAACTTTCTTTTGATTGAGGGTTTTGAAACAGTCTTTTTGATAAATCTGCAAGTGGATATTTGGAGCGAATTGTGGCCTATGGTTTAAAAGGAAATATCTTCACATAAAAGCTAGACAGAAGCTTTCTGAGAAACTTCTTTGTGATACGTGCGTTCATCTCACCGGGTTGAATCTTTCCTTTCATCGAGCAATATTGAAACACCCTTTTCTTTGAATCTGAAATAGATATTTGGAGCGATTGTGTCCTATGGTAGTAAAGGCAATATTTTCACAGAAAAACTAGACAGAAGCATTCTGCAAAACTTCCTCGTGATGTGTTCATTTATCTCACCAAATTGAACCATTCTTTTCCTTGAGCAGATTTGATACACTCTTTTTGTAGAATGTGCAAGTGAATATTTGGAACGCTTTGATGAGTTTGACGGAAAAGGAAATACCTTCACATATAAACGAGACAGAAGCATTCTGAGAAACTTCTTTCTGATATGTGCATTCAACTCACAGAGTTGAACCTTTCTTTTGATTCAGCAGTTTTGAAACACACTTTTTGAAGGATCTGTAAGTGGATATTTGGAGTGCTTAGGGGTCGATGCTAGAAAGGAAATATCTCCACATAAAAACTTGATGGAAGCATTCTGAGAAACTTCTTTGTGATGTGTGCATTCATCAGAGAGAGTTTAACATTTCTTTTGACTGAGCAGTTTTGAAACTCTCTTTTTGTAGAATCTGCAAGTGGACATTTGGAGCCACTTGAGGCCTATTGTGGAAAAGGGAATAAATGCACATAAAAGCTACACGGAAGCATTCTGACAAACTTCTTTGTGATGTGCACATTCATCTCACAGATTGAAAATTTCTTTTGATTGAGCAGTTTTGAAATGCTCTTTTCGGAGAATCAGCCAGTGGATATTTGGAGCACTTTGAGGACTATGGTGGAAAAGGAAATATCTTCACATAAAAACTAGAGGAAACATTCTGAGAAACTTATTTGTGATGTGTGCATTCCTCTCACAGAGTTGAACATTTCTTTTGATTAAGCAGTTTTGAAACACCCTTTTGTGGAATCTGCTAGAGGATATTTGGAGCGCTTTGAGGCCTATGGAGGAAAAGGAAATATCTTCACTTAAAAACTAGACAGAAGCATTCTGAGAGACTTCTTTGTGATGTTTGCATTCATCTCACAGGGTTGAAATTTTCTTTTGATTGAGAAGTTTTGAGACACTCTTTTTGTAGAATCTGCCTGTGGATAATAGGAGCGCTTTGGGGCATATTTTGGAAAAGGAAATACCTTCACATAAATAGTAGACAGAAGCATTCTGAGAAACTTCTTTGTGACGTGTGCATATATATCACAGAGTTGAACCTTTCTTTTCATTTAGCCTTTTGAAACACTCTTTTTCTAGAATCTGCAAGTGAATATTTGGAGCGCTTTGCGGCCTATGGTGGAAAATAAATATCTTCACATAAAAACTAGACAGAAGCAATCTGAGAAACTACTTTGTGATGTGTGCATTCATCTCACAGAGGTGAACCTTTCTTTTGATTGAGCAGTTTTGAAACACTCTTTTTGTTGTATATGCAAGTGGATATTTGGAGCGATTTGTGGTCTATGGTGGAAAAGGAAATATCTTCACGTAAAAACTAGACAGAAGCACTCTGAGAAACTTCTTTGTGATGTGTGCATTCATCTCACCAAGCGGAACCATTCTTTTGATGGAGCTGTTTTGAAATACTCTTTTTGTAGAATCTGCAAGTGAATATTTGGAGTGCTTTCAGGCCTGTGGTGGAAAAGGAAATATCTTCACATAAAAACTAGACAGAAGCATTCGGAGAAACTTCTTTTTAGTGTGTGCATTCATCTCACAGTGTTGAAACTTTCTTTTGATTGAGGGTTTTGAAACAGTCTTTTTGATAAATCTGCAAGTGGATATTTGGAGCGAATTGTGGCCTATGGTTTAAAAGGAAATATCTTCACATAAAAGCTAGACAGAAGCTTTCTGAGAAACTTCTTTGTGATATGTGCGTTCATCTCACCGGGTTGAATCTTTCCTTTCATCGAGCAATATTGAAACACCCTTTTCTTTGAATCTGAAATAGATATTTGGAGCGATTGTGTCCTATGGTAGTAAAGGCAATATTTTCACAGAAAAACTAGACAGAAGCATTCTGCAAAACTTCCTCGTGATGTGTTCATTTATCTCACCAAATTGAACCATTCTTTTCCTTGAGCAGATTTGATACACTCTTTTTGTAGAATGTGCAAGTGAATATTTGGAACGCTTTGATGAGTTTGACGGAAAAGGAAATACCTTCACATATAAACGAGACAGAAGCATTCTGAGAAACTTCTTTCTGATATGTGCATTCAACTCACAGAGTTGAACCTTTCTTTTGATTCAGCAGTTTTGAAACACACTTTTTGAAGGATCTGTAAGTGGATATTTGGAGTGCTTAGGGGTCGATGCTAGAAAGGAAATATCTCCACATAAAAACTTGATGGAAGCATTCTGAGAAACTTCTTTGTGATGTGTGCATTCATCAGAGAGAGTTTAACATTTCTTTTGACTGAGCAGTTTTGAAACTCTCTTTTTGTAGAATCTGCAAGTGGACATTTGGAGCCACTTGAGGCCTATTGTGGAAAAGGGAATAAATTCACATAAAAGCTACACGGAAGCATTCTGAGAAACTTCTTTGTGATGTGCACATTCATCTCACAGTATTTGAAAATTTCTTTTGATTGAGCAGTTTTGAAATGCTCTTTTTGGAGAATTGGCCAGTGGATATTTGGAGCGCTTTGAGGACTATGGTGGAAAAGGAAATATCTTCACATAAAAACTAGAGGAAACATTCTGAGAAACTTATTTGTGATGTGTGCATTCCTCTCACAGAGTTGAACATTTCTTTTGATTAAGCAGTTTTGAAACACCCTTTTGTGGAATCTGCTAGAGGATATTTGGAGCGCTTTGAGGCCTATGGAGGAAAAGGAAATATCTTCACTTAAAAACTAGACAGAAGCATTCTGAGAAACTTCTTTGTGATGTTTGCATTCATCTCACAGGGTTGAAATTTTCTTTCGATTGAGAAGTTTTGAGACACTCTTTTTGTAGAATCTGCCTGTGGATAATAGGAGCGCTGTGGGGCATATTTTGGAAAAGGAAATACCTTCACATAAATAGTAGACAGAAGCATTCTGAGAAACTTCTTTGTGACGTGTGCATATATATCACAGAGTTGAACCTTTCTTTTCATTTAGCCTTTTGAAACACTCTTTTTCTAGAATCTGCAAGTGAATATTTGGAGCGCTTTGCGGCCTATGGTGGAAAATAAATATCTTCACATAAAAACTAGACAGAAGCAATCTGAGAAACTACTTTGTGATGTGTGCATTCATCTCACAGAGTTGAACCTTTCTTTTGATTGAGCAGTTTTGAAACACTCTTTTTGTTGTATATGCAAGTGGATATTTGGAGCGATTTGTGGTCTATGGTGGAAAAGGAAATATCTTCACGTAAAAACTAGACAGAAGCACTCTGAGAAACTTCTTTGTGATGTGTGCATTCATCTCACCAAGCGGAACCATTCTTTTGATGGAGCTGTTTTGAAATACTCTTTTTGTAGAATCTGCAAGTGAATATTTGGAGTGCTTTCAGGCCTGTGGTGGAAAAGGAAATATCTTCACATAAAAACTAGACAGAAGCATTCGGAGAAACTTCTTTTTAGTGTGTGCATTCATCTCACAGTGTTGAAACTTTCTTTTGATTGAGGGTTTTGAAACAGTCTTTTTGATAAATCTGCAAGTGGATATTTGGAGCGAATTGTGGCCTATGGTTTAAAAGGAAATATCTTCACATAAAAGCTAGACAGAAGCTTTCTGAGAAACTTCTTTGTGATATGTGCGTTCATCTCACCGGGTTGAATCTTTCCTTTCATCGAGCAATATTGAAACACCCTTTTCTTTGAATCTGAAATACATATTTGGAGCGATTGTGTCCTATGGTAGTAAAGGCAATATTTTCACAGAAAAACTAGACAGAAGCATTCTGCAAAACTTCCTCGTGATGTGTTCATTTATCTCACCAAATTGAACCATTCTTTTCCTTGAGCAGATTTGATACACTCTTTTTGTAGAATGTGCAAGTGAATATTTGGAACGCTTTGATGAGTTTGACGGAAAAGGAAATACCTTCACATATAAACGAGACAGAAGCATTCTGAGAAACTTCTTTCTGATATGTGCATTCAACTCACAGAGTTGAACCTTTCTTTTGATTCAGCAGTTTTGAAACACACTTTTTGAAGGATCTGTAAGTGGATATTTGGAGTGCTTAGGGGTCGATGCTAGAAAGGAAATATCTCCACATAAAAACTTGATGGAAGCATTCTGAGAAACTTCTTTGTGATGTGTGCATTCATCAGAGAGAGTTTAACATTTCTTTTGACTGAGCAGTTTTGAAACTCTCTTTTTGTAGAATCTGCAAGTGGACATTTGGAGCCACTTGAGGCCTATTGTGGAAAAGGGAATAAATGCACATAAAAGCTACACGGAAAGCATTCTGACAAACTTCTTTGTGATGTGCACATTCATCTCACAGATTGAAAATTTCTTTTGATTGAGCAGTTTTGAAATGCTCTTTTCGGAGAATCAGCCAGTGGATATTTGGAGCACTTTGAGGACTATGGTGGAAAAGGAAATATCTTCACATAAAAACTAGAGGAAAACATTCTGAGAAACTTATTTGTGATGTGTGCATTCCTCTCACAGAGTTGAACATTTCTTTTGATTAAGCAGTTTTGAAACACTCTTTTGTGGAATCTGCTAGAGGATATTTGGAGCGCTTTGAGGCCTATGGAGGAAAAGGAAATATCTTCACTTAAAAACTAGACAGAAGCATTCTGAGAAACTTCTTTGTGATGTTTGCATTCATCTCACAGGGTTGAAATTTTCTTTTGATTGAGAAGTTTTGAGACACTCTTTTTGTAGAATCTGCCTGTGGATAATAGGAGCGCTTTGGGGCATATTTTGGAAAAGGAAATACCTTCACATAAATAGTAGACAGAAGCATTCTGAGAAACTTCTTTGTGACGTGTGCATATATATCACAGAGTTGAACCTTTCTTTTCATTTAGCCTTTTGAAACACTCTTTTTCTAGAATCTGCAAGTGAATATTTGGAGCGCTTTGCGGCCTATGGTGGAAAATAAATATCTTCACATAAAAACTAGACAGAAGCATTCTGAGAAACTTCTCTGTGATAAGTGCCTTCATCTCACAGAGTTGAACCTTTCTTTTGATTGAGCAGTTTTGAAACACTCTTTTTGTTGTATATGCAAGTGGATATTTGGAGCGATTTGTGGTCTATGGTGGAAAAGGAAATATCTTCACGTAAAAACTAGACAGAAGCACTCTGAGAAACTTCTTTGTGATGTGTGCATTCATCTCACCAAGCGGAACCATTCTTTTGATGGAGCTGTTTTGAAATACTCTTTTTGTAGAATCTGCAAGTGAATATTTGGAGTGCTTTCAGGCCTGTGGTGGAAAAGGAAATATCTTCACATAAAAACTAGACAGAAGCATTCGGAGAAACTTCTTTTTAGTGTGTGCATTCATCTCACAGTGTTGAAACTTTCTTTTGATTGAGGGTTTTGAAACAGTCTTTTTGATAAATCTGCAAGTGGATATTTGGAGCGAATTGTGGCCTATGGTTTAAAAGGAAATATCTTCACATAAAAGCTAGACAGAAGCTTTCTGAGAAACTTCTTTGTGATATGTGCGTTCATCTCACCGGGTTGAATCTTTCCTTTCATCGAGCAATATTGAAACACCCTTTTCTTTGAATCTGAAATAGATATTTGGAGCGATTGTGTCCTATGGTAGTAAAGGCAATATTTTCACAGAAAAACTAGACAGAAGCATTCTGCAAAACTTCCTCGTGATGTGTTCATTTATCTCACCAAATTGAACCATTCTTTTCCTTGAGCAGATTTGATACACTCTTTTTGTAGAATGTGCAAGTGAATATTTGGAACGCTTTGATGAGTTTGACGGAAAAGGAAATACCTTCACATATAAACGAGACAGAAGCATTCTGAGAAACTTCTTTCTGATATGTGCATTCAACTCACAGAGTTGAACCTTTCTTTTGATTCAGCAGTTTTGAAACACACTTTTTGAAGGATCTGTAAGTGGATATTTGGAGTGCTTAGGGGTCGATGCTAGAAAGGAAATATCTCCACATAAAAACTTGATGGAAGCATTCTGAGAAACTTCTTTGTGATGTGTGCATTCATCAGAGAGAGTTTAACATTTCTTTTGACTGAGCAGTTTTGAAACTCTCTTTTTGTAGAATCTGCAAGTGGACATTTGGAGCCACTTGAGGCCTATCGTGGAAAAGGGAATAAATGCACATAAAAGCTACACGGAAGCATTCTGACAAACTTCTTTGTGATGTGCACATTCATCTCACAGATTGAAAATTTCTTTTGATTGAGCAGTTTTGAAATGCTCTTTTCGGAGAATCAGCCAGTGGATATTTGGAGCACTTTGAGGACTATGGTGGAAAAGGAAATATCTTCACATAAAAACTAGAGGAAACATTCTGAGAAACTTATTTGTGATGTGTGCATTCCTCTCACAGAGTTGAACATTTCTTTTGATTAAGCAGTTTTGAAACACCCTTTTGTGGAATCTGCTAGAGGATATTTGGAGCGCTTTGAGGCCTATGGAGGAAAAGGAAATATCTTCACTTAAAAACTAGACAGAAGCATTCTGAGAAACTTCTTTGTGATGTTTGCATTCATCTCACAGGGTTGAAATTTTCTTTTGATTGAGAAGTTTTGAGACACTCTTTTTGTAGAATCTGCCTGTGGATAATAGGAGCGCTTTGGGGCATATTTTGGAAAAGGAAATACCTTCACATAAATAGTAGACAGAAGCATTCTGAGAAACTTCTTTGTGACGTGTGCATATATATCACAGAGTTGAACCTTTCTTTTCATTTAGCCTTTTGAAACACTCTTTTTCTAGAATCTGCAAGTGAATATTTGGAGCGCTTTGCGGCCTATGGTGGAAAATAAATATCTTCACATAAAAACTAGACAGAAGCAATCTGAAAAACTACTTTGTGATGTGTGCATTCATCTCACAGAGGTGAACCTTTCTTTTGATTGAGCAGTTTTGAAACACTCTTTTTGTTGTATATGCAAGTGGATATTTGGAGCGATTTGTGGTCTATGGTGGAAAAGGAAATATCTTCACGTAAAAACTAGACAGAAGCACTCTGAGAAACTTCTTTGTGATGTGTGCATTCATCTCACCAAGCGGAACCATTCTTTTGATGGAGCTGTTTTGAAATACTCTTTTTGTAGAATCTGCAAGTGAATATTTGGAGTGCTTTCAGGCCTGTGGTGGAAAAGGAAATATCTTCACATAAAAACTAGACAGAAGCATTCGGAGAAACTTCTTTTTAGTGTGTGCATTCATCTCACAGTGTTGAAACTTTCTTTTGATTGAGGGTTTTGAAACAGTCTTTTTGATAAATCTGCAAGTGGATATTTGGAGCGAATTGTGGCCTATGGTTTAAAAGGAAATATCTTCACATAAAAGCTAGACAGAAGCTTTCTGAGAAACTTCTTTGTGATATGTGCGTTCATCTCACCGGGTTGAATCTTTCCTTTCATCGAGCAATATTGAAACACCCTTTTCTTTGAATCTGAAATAGATATTTGGAGCGATTGTGTCCTATGGTAGTAAAGGCAATATTTTCACAGAAAAACTAGACAGAAGCATTCTGCAAAACTTCCTCGTGATGTGTTCATTTATCTCACCAAATTGAACCATTCTTTTCCTTGAGCAGATTTGATACACTCTTTTTGTAGAATGTGCAAGTGAATATTTGGAACGCTTTGATGAGTTTGACGGAAAAGGAAATACCTTCACATATAAACGAGACAGAAGCATTCTGAGAAACTTCTTTCTGATATGTGCATTCAACTCACAGAGTTGAACCTTTCTTTTGATTCAGCAGTTTTGAAACACACTTTTTGAAGGATCTGTAAGTGGATATTTGGAGTGCTTAGGGGTCGATGCTAGAAAGGAAATATCTCCACATAAAAACTTGATGGAAGCATTCTGAGAAACTTCTTTGTGATGTGTGCATTCATCAGAGAGAGTTTAACATTTCTTTTGACTGAGCAGTTTTGAAACTCTCTTTTTGTAGAATCTGCAAGTGGACATTTGGAGCCACTTGAGGCCTATTGTGGAAAAGGGAATAAATTCACATAAAAGCTACACGGAAGCATTCTGACAAACTTCTTTGTGATGTGCACATTCATCTCACAGATTGAAAATTTCTTTTGATTGAGCAGTTTTGAAATGCTCTTTTCGGAGAATCAGCCAGTGGATATTTGGAGCACTTTGAGGACTATGGTGGAAAAGGAAATATCTTCACATAAAAACTAGAGGAAACATTCTGAGAAACTTATTTGTGATGTGTGCATTCCTCTCACAGAGTTGAACATTTCTTTTGATTAAGCAGTTTTGAAACACTCTTTTGTGGAATCTGCTAGAGGATATTTGGAGCGCTTTGAGGCCTATGGAGGAAAAGGAAATATCTTCACTTAAAAACTAGACAGAAGCATTCTGAGAAACTTCTTTGTGATGTTTGCATTCATCTCACAGGGTTGAAATTTTCTTTTGATTGAGAAGTTTTGAGACACTCTTTTTGTAGAATCTGCCTGTGGATAATAGGAGCGCTTTGGGGCATATTTTGGAAAAGGAAATACCTTCACATAAATAGTAGACAGAAGCATTCTGAGAAAGTTCTTTGTGACGTGTGCATATATATCACAGAGTTGAACCTTTCTTTTCATTTAGCCTTTTGAAACACTCTTTTTCTAGAATCTGCAAGTGAATATTTGGAGCGCTTTGCGGCCTATGGTGGAAAATAAATATCTTCACATAAAAACTAGACAGAAGCAATCTGAGAAACTACTTTGTGATGTGTGCATTCATCTCACAGAGTTGAACCTTTCTTTTGATTGAGCAGTTTTGAAACACTCTTTTTGTTGTATATGCAAGTGGATATTTGGAGCGATTTGTGGTCTATGGTGGAAAAGGAAATATCTTCACGTAAAAACTAGACAGAAGCACTCTGAGAAACTTCTTTGTGATGTGTGCATTCATCTCACCAAGCGGAACCATTCTTTTGATGGAGCTGTTTTGAAATACTCTTTTTGTAGAATCTGCAAGTGAATATTTGGAGTGCTTTCAGGCCTGTGGTGGAAAAGGAAATATCTTCACATAAAAACTAGACAGAAGCATTCGGAGAAACTTCTTTTTAGTGTGTGCATTCATCTCACAGTGTTGAAACTTTCTTTTGATTGAGGGTTTTGAAACAGTCTTTTTGATAAATCTGCAAGTGGATATTTGGAGCGAATTGTGGCCTATGGTTTAAAAGGAAATATCTTCACATAAAAGCTAGACAGAAGCTTTCTGAGAAACTTCTTTGTGATATGTGCGTTCATCTCACCGGGTTGAATCTTTCCTTTCATCGAGCAATATTGAAACACCCTTTTCTTTGAATCTGAAATAGATATTTGGAGCGATTGTGTCCTATGGTAGTAAAGGCAATATTTTCACAGAAAAACTAGACAGAAGCATTCTGCAAAACTTCCTCGTGATGTGTTCATTTATCTCACCAAATTGAACCATTCTTTTCCTTGAGCAGATTTGATACACTCTTTTTGTAGAATGTGCAAGTGAATATTTGGAACGCTTTGATGAGTTTGACGGAAAAGGAAATACCTTCACATATAAACGAGACAGAAGCATTCTGAGAAACTTCTTTCTGATATGTGCATTCAACTCACAGAGTTGAACCTTTCTTTTGATTCAGCAGTTTTGAAACACACTTTTTGAAGGATCTGTAAGTGGATATTTGGAGTGCTTAGGGGTCGATGCTAGAAAGGAAATATCTCCACATAAAAACTTGATGGAAGCATTCTGAGAAACTTCTTTGTGATGTGTGCATTCATCAGAGAGAGTTTAACATTTCTTTTGACTGAGCAGTTTTGAAACTCTCTTTTTGTAGAATCTGCAAGTGGACATTTGGAGCCACTTGAGGCCTATTGTGGAAAAGGGAATAAATGCACATAAAAGCTACACGGAAGCATTCTGACAAACTTCTTTGTGATGTGCACATTCATCTCACAGATTGAAAATTTCTTTTGATTGAGCAGTTTTGAAATGCTCTTTTCGGAGAATCAGCCAGTGGATATTTGGAGCACTTTGAGGACTATGGTGGAAAAGGAAATATCTTCACATAAAAACTAGAGGAAACATTCTGAGAAACTTATTTGTGATGTGTGCATTCCTCTCACAGAGTTGAACATTTCTTTTGATTAAGCAGTTTTGAAACACTCTTTTGTGGAATCTGCTAGAGGATATTTGGAGCGCTTTGAGGCCTATGGAGGAAAAGGAAATATCTTCACTTAAAAACTAGACAGAAGCATTCTGAGACACTTCTTTGTGATGTTTGCATTCATCTCACAGGGTTGAAATTTTCTTTTGATTGAGAAGTTTTGAGACACTCTTTTTGTAGAATCTGCCTGTGGATAATAGGAGCGCTTTGGGGCATATTTTGGAAAAGGAAATACCTTCACATAAATAGTAGACAGAAGCATTCTGAGAAACTTCTTTGTGACGTGTGCATATATATCACAGAGTTGAACCTTTCTTTTCATTTAGCCTTTTGAAACACTCTTTTTCTAGAATCTGCAAGTGAATATTTGGAGCGCTTTGCGGCCTATGGTGGAAAATAAATATCTTCACATAAAAACTAGACAGAAGCAATCTGAGAAACTACTTTGTGATGTGTGCATTCATCTCACAGAGGTGAACCTTTCTTTTGATTGAGCAGTTTTGAAACACTCTTTTTGTTGTATATGCAAGTGGATATTTGGAGCGATTTGTGGTCTATGGTGGAAAAGGAAATATCTTCACGTAAAAACTAGACAGAAGCACTCTGAGAAACTTCTTTGTGATGTGTGCATTCATCTCACCAAGCGGAACCATTCTTTTGATGGAGCTGTTTTGAAATACTCTTTTTGTAGAATCTGCAAGTGAATATTTGGAGTGCTTTCAGGCCTGTGGTGGAAAAGGAAATATCTTCACATAAAAACTAGACAGAAGCATTCGGAGAAACTTCTTTTTAGTGTGTGCATTCATCTCACAGTGTTGAAACTTTCTTTTGATTGAGGGTTTTGAAACAGTCTTTTTGATAAATCTGCAAGTGGATATTTGGAGCGAATTGTGGCCTATGGTTTAAAAGGAAATATCTTCACATAAAAGCTAGACAGAAGCTTTCTGAGAAACTTCTTTGTGATATGTGCGTTCATCTCACCGGGTTGAATCTTTCCTTTCATCGAGCAATATTGAAACACCCTTTTCTTTGAATCTGAAATAGATATTTGGAGCGATTGTGTCCTATGGTAGTAAAGGCAATATTTTCACAGAAAAACTAGACAGAAGCATTCTGCGAAACTTCCTCATGATGTGTTCATTTATCTCACCAAATTGAACCATTCTTTTCACTGAGAAGATTTGATACACTCTTTTTGTAGAATGTGCAAGGGAATATTTGGAACGCTTTGATGAGTATGATGGAAAAGGAAATACCTTCACATATAAACTAGATAGAAGCATTCTGAGAAACTTTTCTCTGATATGTGCATTCAACTCACAGAGTTGAACCTTTCTTTTGATTCAGCAGTTTTGAAACACGCTTTTTGAAGAATCTATAAGTGGATATTTGGAGTGCTTAGGGGCCGATGGCGGAAAAGGAAATATCTCCACATAAAAACTAGATGGAAGCATTCTGAGAAACTTCTTTGTGATGTGTGCATTCATCAGAGAGAGTTTAACATTTCTTTTGACTGAGCAGTTTTGAAACTCTCTTTTTGTAGAATCTGCAAGTGGACATTTGGAGCCACTTGAGGCCTATTGTGGAAAAGGGAATAAATGCACATAAAAGCTACACGGAAGCATTCTGACAAACTTCTTTGTGATGTGCACATTCATCTCACAGATTGAAAATTTCTTTTGATTGAGCAGTTTTGAAATGCTCTTTTCGGAGAATCAGCCAGTGGATATTTGGAGCACTTTGAGGACTATGGTGGAAAAGGAAATATCTTCACATAAAAACTAGAGGAAACATTCTGAGAAACTTATTTGTGATGTGTGCATTCCTCTCACAGAGTTGAACATTTCTTTTGATTAAGCAGTTTTGAAACACTCTTTTGTGGAATCTGCTAGAGGATATTTGGAGCGCTTTGAGGCCTATGGAGGAAAAGGAAATATCTTCACTTAAAAACTAGACAGAAGCATTCTGAGAAACTTCTTTGTGATGTTTGCATTCATCTCACAGGGTTGAAATTTTCTTTTGATTGAGAAGTTTTGAGACACTCTTTTTGTAGAATCTGCCTGTGGATAATAGGAGCGCTTTGGGGCATATTTTGGAAAAGGAAATACCTTCACATAAATAGTAGACAGAAGCATTCTGAGAAACTTCTTTGTGACGTGTGCATATATATCACAGAGTTGAACCTTTCTTTTCATTTAGCCTTTTGAAACACTCTTTTTCTAGAATCTGCAAGTGAATATTTGGAGCGCTTTGCGGCCTATGGTGGAAAATAAATATCTTCACATAAAAACTAGACAGAAGCAATCTGAGAAACTACTTTGTGATGTGTGCATTCATCTCACAGAGGTGAACCTTTCTTTTGATTGAGCAGTTTTGAAACACTCTTTTTGTTGTATATGCAAGTGGATATTTGGAGCGATTTGTGGTCTATGGTGGAAAAGGAAATATCTTCACGTAAAAACTAGACAGAAGCACTCTGAGAAACTTCTTTGTGATGTGTGCATTCATCTCACCAAGCGGAACCATTCTTTTGATGGAGCTGTTTTGAAATACTCTTTTTGTAGAATCTGCAAGTGAATATTTGGAGTGCTTTCAGGCCTGTGGTGGAAAAGGAAATATCTTCACATAAAAACTAGACAGAAGCATTCGGAGAAACTTCTTTTTAGTGTGTGCATTCATCTCACAGTGTTGAAACTTTCTTTTGATTGAGGGTTTTGAAACAGTCTTTTTGATAAATCTGCAAGTGGATATTTGGAGCGAATTGTGGCCTATGGTTTAAAAGGAAATATCTTCACATAAAAGCTAGACAGAAGCTTTCTGAGAAACTTCTTTGTGATATGTGCGTTCATCTCACCGGGTTGAATCTTTCCTTTCATCGAGCAATATTGAAACACCCTTTTCTTTGAATCTGAAATAGATATTTGGAGCGATTGTGTCCTATGGTAGTAAAGGCAATATTTTCACAGAAAAACTAGACAGAAGCATTCTGCAAAACTTCCTCGTGATGTGTTCATTTATCTCACCAAATTGAACCATTCTTTTCCTTGAGCAGATTTGATACACTCTTTTTGTAGAATGTGCAAGTGAATATTTGGAACGCTTTGATGAGTTTGACGGAAAAGGAAATACCTTCACATATAAACGAGACAGAAGCATTCTGAGAAACTTCTTTCTGATATGTGCATTCAACTCACAGAGTTGAACCTTTCTTTTGATTCAGCAGTTTTGAAACACACTTTTTGAAGGATCTGTAAGTGGATATTTGGAGTGCTTAGGGGTCGATGCTAGAAAGGAAATATCTCCACATAAAAACTTGATGGAAGCATTCTGAGAAACTTCTTTGTGATGTGTGCATTCATCAGAGAGAGTTTAACATTTCTTTTGACTGAGCAGTTTTGAAACTCTCTTTTTGTAGAATCTGCAAGTGGACATTTGGAGCCACTTGAGGCCTATTGTGGAAAAGGGAATAAATTCACATAAAAGCTACACGGAAGCATTCTGACAAACTTCTTTGTGATGTGCACATTCATCTCACAGATTGAAAATTTCTTTTGATTGAGCAGTTTTGAAATGCTCTTTTCGGAGAATCAGCCAGTGGATATTTGGAGCACTTTGAGGACTATGGTGGAAAAGGAAATATCTTCACATAAAAACTAGAGGAAACATTCTGAGAAACTTATTTGTGATGTGTGCATTCCTCTCACAGAGTTGAACATTTCTTTTGATTAAGCAGTTTTGAAACACTCTTTTGTGGAATCTGCTAGAGGATATTTGGAGCGCTTTGAGGCCTATGGAGGAAAAGGAAATATCTTCACTTAAAAACTAGACAGAAGCATTCTGAGAAACTTCTTTGTGATGTTTGCATTCATCTCACAGGGTTGAAATTTTCTTTTGATTGAGAAGTTTTGAGACACTCTTTTTGTAGAATCTGCCTGTGGATAATAGGAGCGCTTTGGGGCATATTTTGGAAAAGGAAATACCTTCACATAAATAGTAGACAGACTGTGTCCATGTGATCTCATTGTTCAATTCCCACCTATGAGTGAGAATATGCGGTGTTTGGTTTTTTGTTCTTGCGATAGTTTACTGAGAATGATGACTTCCAATTTCATCCATGTCCCTAAAAAGGTTATGAACTCATCACTTTTTATGGCTTCATAGTATTCCATGGTGTATATAGACTGGATTAAGAAGATTGAGCAGTTTTTAAAGCATCTTTTTGTAGTATCTGCAAGGGGATATTTGGAGCGTTTTGGGGCCTATTGTGGAAAAGGAACTATCTTCACATAAAAACTAGACAGAAG
>NC_000020.11:28681199-28688521 GCF_000001405.40 Homo sapiens
AGCAATCTGAGAAACTACTTTGTGATGTGTGCATTCATCTCACAGAGTTGAACCTTTCTTTTGATTGAGCAGTTTTGAAACACTCTTTTTGTTGTATATGCAAGTGGATATTTGGAGCGATTTGTGGTCTATGGTGGAAAAGGAAATATCTTCACGTAAAAACTAGACAGAAGCACTCTGAGAAACTTCTTTGTGATGTGTGCATTCATCTCACCAAGCGGAACCATTCTTTTGATGGAGCTGTTTTGAAATACTCTTTTTGTAGAATCTGCAAGTGAATATTTGGAGTGCTTTCAGGCCTGTGGTGGAAAAGGAAATATCTTCACATAAAAACTAGACAGAAGCATTCGGAGAAACTTCTTTTTAGTGTGTGCATTCATCTCACAGTGTTGAAACTTTCTTTTGATTGAGGGTTTTGAAACAGTCTTTTTGATAAATCTGCAAGTGGATATTTGGAGCGAATTGTGGCCTATGGTTTAAAAGGAAATATCTTCACATAAAAGCTAGACAGAAGCTTTCTGAGAAACTTCTTTGTGATATGTGCGTTCATCTCACCGGGTTGAATCTTTCCTTTCATCGAGCAATATTGAAACACCCTTTTCTTTGAATCTGAAATACATATTTGGAGCGATTGTGTCCTATGGTAGTAAAGGCAATATTTTCACAGAAAAACTAGACAGAAGCATTCTGCAAAACTTCCTCGTGATGTGTTCATTTATCTCACCAAATTGAACCATTCTTTTCCTTGAGCAGATTTGATACACTCTTTTTGTAGAATGTGCAAGTGAATATTTGGAACGCTTTGATGAGTTTGACGGAAAAGGAAATACCTTCACATATAAACGAGACAGAAGCATTCTGAGAAACTTCTTTCTGATATGTGCATTCAACTCACAGAGTTGAACCTTTCTTTTGATTCAGCAGTTTTGAAACACACTTTTTGAAGGATCTGTAAGTGGATATTTGGAGTGCTTAGGGGTCGATGCTAGAAAGGAAATATCTCCACATAAAAACTTGATGGAAGCATTCTGAGAAACTTCTTTGTGATGTGTGCATTCATCAGAGAGAGTTTAACATTTCTTTTGACTGAGCAGTTTTGAAACTCTCTTTTTGTAGAATCTGCAAGTGGACATTTGGAGCCACTTGAGGCCTATTGTGGAAAAGGGAATAAATGCACATAAAAGCTACACGGAAGCATTCTGACAAACTTCTTTGTGATGTGCACATTCATCTCACAGATTGAAAATTTCTTTTGATTGAGCAGTTTTGAAATGCTCTTTTCGGAGAATCAGCCAGTGGATATTTGGAGCACTTTGAGGACTATGGTGGAAAAGGAAATATCTTCACATAAAAACTAGAGGAAACATTCTGAGAAACTTATTTGTGATGTGTGCATTCCTCTCACAGAGTTGAACATTTCTTTTGATTAAGCAGTTTTGAAACACTCTTTTGTGGAATCTGCTAGAGGATATTTGGAGCGCTTTGAGGCCTATGGAGGAAAAGGAAATATCTTCACTTAAAAACTAGACAGAAGCATTCTGAGAAACTTCTTTGTGATGTTTGCATTCATCTCACAGGGTTGAAATTTTCTTTTGATTGAGAAGTTTTGAGACACTCTTTTTGTAGAATCTGCCTGTGGATAATAGGAGCGCTTTGGGGCATATTTTGGAAAAGGAAATACCTTCACATAAATAGTAGACAGAAGCATTCTGAGAAACTTCTTTGTGACGTGTGCATATATATCACAGAGTTGAACCTTTCTTTTCATTTAGCCTTTTGAAACACTCTTTTTCTAGAATCTGCAAGTGAATATTTGGAGCGCTTTGCGGCCTATGGTGGAAAATAAATATCTTCACATAAAAACTAGACAGAAGCAATCTGAGAAACTACTTTGTGATGTGTGCATTCATCTCACAGAGTTGAACCTTTCTTTTGATTGAGCAGTTTTGAAACACTCTTTTTGTTGTATATGCAAGTGGATATTTGGAGCGATTTGTGGTCTATGGTGGAAAAGGAAATATCTTCACGTAAAAACTAGACAGAAGCACTCTGAGAAACTTCTTTGTGATGTGTGCATTCATCTCACCAAGCGGAACCATTCTTTTGATGGAGCTGTTTTGAAATACTCTTTTTGTAGAATCTGCAAGTGAATATTTGGAGTGCTTTCAGGCCTGTGGTGGAAAAGGGAATATCTTCACATAAAAACTAGACAGAAGCATTCGGAGAAACTTCTTTTTAGTGTGTGCATTCATCTCACAGTGTTGAAACTTTCTTTTGATTGAGGGTTTTGAAACAGTCTTTTTGATAAATCTGCAAGTGGATATTTGGAGCGAATTGTGGCCTATGGTTTAAAAGGAAATATCTTCACATAAAAGCTAGACAGAAGCTTTCTGAGAAACTTCTTTGTGATATGTGCGTTCATCTCACCGGGTTGAATCTTTCCTTTCATCGAGCAATATTGAAACACCCTTTTTTTTGAATCTGAAATAGATATTTGGAGCGATTGTGTCCTATGGTAGTAAAGGCAATATTTTCACAGAAAAACTAGACAGAAGCATTCTGCAAAACTTCCTCGTGATGTGTTCATTTATCTCACCAAATTGAACCATTCTTTTCCTTGAGCAGATTTGATACACTCTTTTTGTAGAATGTGCAAGTGAATATTTGGAACGCTTTGATGAGTTTGACGGAAAAGGAAATACCTTCACATATAAACGAGACAGAAGCATTCTGAGAAACTTCTTTCTGATATGTGCATTCAACTCACAGAGTTGAACCTTTCTTTTGATTCAGCAGTTTTGAAACACACTTTTTGAAGGATCTGTAAGTGGATATTTGGAGTGCTTAGGGGTCGATGCTAGAAAGGAAATATCTCCACATAAAAACTTGATGGAAGCATTCTGAGAAACTTCTTTGTGATGTGTGCATTCATCAGAGAGAGTTTAACATTTCTTTTGACTGAGCAGTTTTGAAACTCTCTTTTTGTAGAATCTGCAAGTGGACATTTGGAGCCACTTGAGGCCTATTGTGGAAAAGGGAATAAATGCACATAAAAGCTACACGGAAGCATTCTGACAAACTTCTTTGTGATGTGCACATTCATCTCACAGATTGAAAATTTCTTTTGATTGAGCAGTTTTGAAATGCTCTTTTCGGAGAATCAGCCAGTGGATATTTGGAGCACTTTGAGGACTATGGTGGAAAAGGAAATATCTTCACATAAAAACTAGAGGAAACATTCTGAGAAACTTATTTGTGATGTGTGCATTCCTCTCACAGAGTTGAACATTTCTTTTGATTAAGCAGTTTTGAAACACCCTTTTGTGGAATCTGCTAGAGGATATTTGGAGCGCTTTGAGGCCTATGGAGGAAAAGGAAATATCTTCACTTAAAAACTAGACAGAAGCATTCTGAGAAACTTCTTTGTGATGTTTGCATTCATCTCACAGGGTTGAAATTTTCTTTTGATTGAGAAGTTTTGAGACACTCTTTTTGTAGAATCTGCCTGTGGATAATAGGAGCGCTTTGGGGCATATTTTGGAAAAGGAAATACCTTCACATAAATAGTAGACAGAAGCATTCTGAGAAACTTCTTTGTGACGTGTGCATATATATCACAGAGTTGAACCTTTCTTTTCATTTAGCCTTTTGAAACACTCTTTTTCTAGAATCTGCAAGTGAATATTTGGAGCGCTTTGCGGCCTATGGTGGAAAATAAATATCTTCACATAAAAACTAGACAGAAGCAATCTGAGAAACTACTTTGTGATGTGTGCATTCATCTCACAGAGGTGAACCTTTCTTTTGATTGAGCAGTTTTGAAACACTCTTTTTGTTGTATATGCAAGTGGATATTTGGAGCGATTTGTGGTCTATGGTGGAAAAGGAAATATCTTCACGTAAAAACTAGACAGAAGCACTCTGAGAAACTTCTTTGTGATGTGTGCATTCATCTCACCAAGCGGAACCATTCTTTTGATGGAGCTGTTTTGAAATACTCTTTTTGTAGAATCTGCAAGTGAATATTTGGAGTGCTTTCAGGCCTGTGGTGGAAAAGGAAATATCTTCACATAAAAACTAGACAGAAGCATTCGGAGAAACTTCTTTTTAGTGTGTGCATTCATCTCACAGTGTTGAAACTTTCTTTTGATTGAGGGTTTTGAAACAGTCTTTTTGATAAATCTGCAAGTGGATATTTGGAGCGAATTGTGGCCTATGGTTTAAAAGGAAATATCTTCACATAAAAGCTAGACAGAAGCTTTCTGAGAAACTTCTTTGTGATATGTGCGTTCATCTCACCGGGTTGAATCTTTCCTTTCATCGAGCAATATTGAAACACCCTTTTCTTTGAATCTGAAATAGATATTTGGAGCGATTGTGTCCTATGGTAGTAAAGGCAATATTTTCACAGAAAAACTAGACAGAAGCATTCTGCAAAACTTCCTCGTGATGTGTTCATTTATCTCACCAAATTGAACCATTCTTTTCCTTGAGCAGATTTGATACACTCTTTTTGTAGAATGTGCAAGTGAATATTTGGAACGCTTTGATGAGTTTGACGGAAAAGGAAATACCTTCACATATAAACGAGACAGAAGCATTCTGAGAAACTTCTTTCTGATATGTGCATTCAACTCACAGAGTTGAACCTTTCTTTTGATTCAGCAGTTTTGAAACACACTTTTTGAAGGATCTGTAAGTGGATATTTGGAGTGCTTAGGGGTCGATGCTAGAAAGGAAATATCTCCACATAAAAACTTGATGGAAGCATTCTGAGAAACTTCTTTGTGATGTGTGCATTCATCAGAGAGAGTTTAACATTTCTTTTGACTGAGCAGTTTTGAAACTCTCTTTTTGTAGAATCTGCAAGTGGACATTTGGAGCCACTTGAGGCCTATTGTGGAAAAGGGAATAAATGCACATAAAAGCTACACGGAAGCATTCTGACAAACTTCTTTGTGATGTGCACATTCATCTCACAGATTGAAAATTTCTTTTGATTGAGCAGTTTTGAAATGCTCTTTTCGGAGAATCAGCCAGTGGATATTTGGAGCACTTTGAGGACTATGGTGGAAAAGGAAATATCTTCACATAAAAACTAGAGGAAACATTCTGAGAAACTTATTTGTGATGTGTGCATTCCTCTCACAGAGTTGAACATTTCTTTTGATTAAGCAGTTTTGAAACACCCTTTTGTGGAATCTGCTAGAGGATATTTGGAGCGCTTTGAGGCCTATGGAGGAAAAGGAAATATCTTCACTTAAAAACTAGACAGAAGCATTCTGAGAGACTTCTTTGTGATGTTTGCATTCATCTCACAGGGTTGAAATTTTCTTTTGATTGAGAAGTTTTGAGACACTCTTTTTGTAGAATCTGCCTGTGGATAATAGGAGCGCTTTGGGGCATATTTTGGAAAAGGAAATACCTTCACATAAATAGTAGACAGAAGCATTCTGAGGAAACTTCTTTGTGACGTGTGCATATATATCACAGAGTTGAACCTTTCTTTTCATTTAGCCTTTTGAAACACTCTTTTTCTAGAATCTGCAAGTGAATATTTGGAGCGCTTTGCGGCCTATGGTGGAAAATAAATATCTTCACATAAAAACTAGACAGAAGCAATCTGAGAAACTACTTTGTGATGTGTGCATTCATCTCACAGAGTTGAACCTTTCTTTTGATTGAGCAGTTTTGAAACACTCTTTTTGTTGTATATGCAAGTGGATATTTGGAGCGATTTGTGGTCTATGGTGGAAAAGGAAATATCTTCACGTAAAAACTAGACAGAAGCACTCTGAGAAACTTCTTTGTGATGTGTGCATTCATCTCACCAAGCGGAACCATTCTTTTGATGGAGCTGTTTTGAAATACTCTTTTTGTAGAATCTGCAAGTGAATATTTGGAGTGCTTTCAGGCCTGTGGTGGAAAAGGAAATATCTTCACATAAAAACTAGACAGAAGCATTCGGAGAAACTTCTTTTTAGTGTGTGCATTCATCTCACAGTGTTGAAACTTTCTTTTGATTGAGGGTTTTGAAACAGTCTTTTTGATAAATCTGCAAGTGGATATTTGGAGCGAATTGTGGCCTATGGTTTAAAAGGAAATATCTTCACATAAAAGCTAGACAGAAGCTTTCTGAGAAACTTCTTTGTGATATGTGCGTTCATCTCACCGGGTTGAATCTTTCCTTTCATCGAGCAATATTGAAACACCCTTTTTTTTGAATCTGAAATAGATATTTGGAGCGATTGTGTCCTATGGTAGTAAAGGCAATATTTTCACAGAAAAACTAGACAGAAGCATTCTGCAAAACTTCCTCGTGATGTGTTCATTTATCTCACCAAATTGAACCATTCTTTTCCTTGAGCAGATTTGATACACTCTTTTTGTAGAATGTGCAAGTGAATATTTGGAACGCTTTGATGAGTTTGACGGAAAAGGAAATACCTTCACATATAAACGAGACAGAAGCATTCTGAGAAACTTCTTTCTGATATGTGCATTCAACTCACAGAGTTGAACCTTTCTTTTGATTCAGCAGTTTTGAAACACACTTTTTGAAGGATCTGTAAGTGGATATTTGGAGTGCTTAGGGGTCGATGCTAGAAAGGAAATATCTCCACATAAAAACTTGATGGAAGCATTCTGAGAAACTTCTTTGTGATGTGTGCATTCATCAGAGAGAGTTTAACATTTCTTTTGACTGAGCAGTTTTGAAACTCTCTTTTTGTAGAATCTGCAAGTGGACATTTGGAGCCACTTGAGGCCTATTGTGGAAAAGGGAATAAATGCACATAAAAGCTACACGGAAGCATTCTGAGAAACTTCTTTGTGATGTACAGATTCCTCTCACAGATTTGAAAATTTCTTTTGATTGAGCAGTTTTGAAATGTTCTTTTTGGAGAATCGGCCAGTGGATATTTGGAGCGCTTTGAGGACTATGGTGGAAAAGGAAATATCTTCACATAAAAACTAGAGGAAAACATTCTGAGAAACTTATTTGTGATGTGTGCATTCCTCTCACAGAGTTGAACATTTCTTTTGATTAAGCAGTTTTGAAACACCCTTTTGTGGAATCTGCTAGAGGATATTTGGAGCGCTTTGAGGCCTATGGAGGAAAAGGAAATATCTTCACTTAAAAACTAGACAGAAGCATTCTGAGAAACTTCTTTGTGATGTTTGCATTCATCTCACAGGGTTGAAATTTTCTTTTGATTGAGAAGTTTTGAGACACTCTTTTTGTAGAATCTGCCTGTGGATAATAGGAGCGCTGTGGGGCATATTTTGGAAAAGGAAATACCTTCACATAAATAGTAGACAGA
>NC_000020.11:28688621-28696126 GCF_000001405.40 Homo sapiens
TCTGTCTAGTTTTTATGTGAAGATAGTTCCTTTTCCACAATAGGCCCCAAAACGCTCCAAATATCCCCTTGCAGATACTACAAAAAGATGCTTTAAAAACTGCTCAATCTTCTTAATCCAGTCTATATACACCATGGAATACTATGAAGCCATAAAAAGTGATGAGTTCATAACCTTTTTAGGGACATGGATGAAATTGGAAGTCATCATTCTCAGTAAACTATCGCAAGAACAAAAAACCAAACACCGCATATTCTCACTCATAGGTGGGAATTGAACAATGAGATCACATGGACACAGGAAGGGAACATCACACTCTGGGGACTGTTGTGGGAGCAATCTGAGAAACTACTTTGTGATGTGTGCATTCATCTCACAGAGTTGAACCTTTCTTTTGATTGAGCAGTTTTGAAACACTCTTTTTGTTGTATATGCAAGTGGATATTTGGAGCGATTTGTGGTCTATGGTGGAAAAGGAAATATCTTCACGTAAAAACTAGACAGAAGCACTCTGAGAAACTTCTTTGTGATGTGTGCATTCATCTCACCAAGCGGAACCATTCTTTTGATGGAGCTGTTTTGAAATACTCTTTTTGTAGAATCTGCAAGTGAATATTTGGAGTGCTTTCAGGCCTGTGGTGGAAAAGGAAATATCTTCACATAAAAACTAGACAGAAGCATTCGGAGAAACTTCTTTTTAGTGTGTGCATTCATCTCACAGTGTTGAAACTTTCTTTTGATTGAGGGTTTTGAAACAGTCTTTTTGATAAATCTGCAAGTGGATATTTGGAGCGAATTGTGGCCTATGGTTTAAAAGGAAATATCTTCACATAAAAGCTAGACAGAAGCTTTCTGAGAAACTTCTTTGTGATATGTGCGTTCATCTCACCGGGTTGAATCTTTCCTTTCATCGAGCAATATTGAAACACCCTTTTTTTTGAATCTGAAATAGATATTTGGAGCGATTGTGTCCTATGGTAGTAAAGGCAATATTTTCACAGAAAAACTAGACAGAAGCATTCTGCAAAACTTCCTCGTGATGTGTTCATTTATCTCACCAAATTGAACCATTCTTTTCCTTGAGCAGATTTGATACACTCTTTTTGTAGAATGTGCAAGTGAATATTTGGAACGCTTTGATGAGTTTGACGGAAAAGGAAATACCTTCACATATAAACGAGACAGAAGCATTCTGAGAAACTTCTTTCTGATATGTGCATTCAACTCACAGAGTTGAACCTTTCTTTTGATTCAGCAGTTTTGAAACACACTTTTTGAAGGATCTGTAAGTGGATATTTGGAGTGCTTAGGGGTCGATGCTAGAAAGGAAATATCTCCACATAAAAACTTGATGGAAGCATTCTGAGAAACTTCTTTGTGATGTGTGCATTCATCAGAGAGAGTTTAACATTTCTTTTGACTGAGCAGTTTTGAAACTCTCTTTTTGTAGAATCTGCAAGTGGACATTTGGAGCCACTTGAGGCCTATTGTGGAAAAGGGAATAAATGCACATAAAAGCTACACGGAAGCATTCTGACAAACTTCTTTGTGATGTGCACATTCATCTCACAGATTGAAAATTTCTTTTGATTGAGCAGTTTTGAAATGCTCTTTTCGGAGAATCAGCCAGTGGATATTTGGAGCACTTTGAGGACTATGGTGGAAAAGGAAATATCTTCACATAAAAACTAGAGGAAACATTCTGAGAAACTTATTTGTGATGTGTGCATTCCTCTCACAGAGTTGAACATTTCTTTTGATTAAGCAGTTTTGAAACACCCTTTTGTGGAATCTGCTAGAGGATATTTGGAGCGCTTTGAGGCCTATGGAGGAAAAGGAAATATCTTCACTTAAAAACTAGACAGAAGCATTCTGAGAAACTTCTTTGTGATGTTTGCATTCATCTCACAGGGTTGAAATTTTCTTTTGATTGAGAAGTTTTGAGACACTCTTTTTGTAGAATCTGCCTGTGGATAATAGGAGCGCTTTGGGGCATATTTTGGAAAAGGAAATACCTTCACATAAATAGTAGACAGAAGCATTCTGAGAAACTTCTTTGTGACGTGTGCATATATATCACAGAGTTGAACCTTTCTTTTCATTTAGCCTTTTGAAACACTCTTTTTCTAGAATCTGCAAGTGAATATTTGGAGCGCTTTGCGGCCTATGGTGGAAAATAAATATCTTCACATAAAAACTAGACAGAAGCAATCTGAGAAACTACTTTGTGATGTGTGCATTCATCTCACAGAGTTGAACCTTTCTTTTGATTGAGCAGTTTTGAAACACTCTTTTTGTTGTATATGCAAGTGGATATTTGGAGCGATTTGTGGTCTATGGTGGAAAAGGAAATATCTTCACGTAAAAACTAGACAGAAGCACTCTGAGAAACTTCTTTGTGATGTGTGCATTCATCTCACCAAGCGGAACCATTCTTTTGATGGAGCTGTTTTGAAATACTCTTTTTGTAGAATCTGCAAGTGAATATTTGGAGTGCTTTCAGGCCTGTGGTGGAAAAGGAAATATCTTCACATAAAAACTAGACAGAAGCATTCGGAGAAACTTCTTTTTAGTGTGTGCATTCATCTCACAGTGTTGAAACTTTCTTTTGATTGAGGGTTTTGAAACAGTCTTTTTGATAAATCTGCAAGTGGATATTTGGAGCGAATTGTGGCCTATGGTTTAAAAGGAAATATCTTCACATAAAAGCTAGACAGAAGCTTTCTGAGAAACTTCTTTGTGATATGTGCGTTCATCTCACCGGGTTGAATCTTTCCTTTCATCGAGCAATATTGAAACACCCTTTTCTTTGAATCTGAAATAGATATTTGGAGCGATTGTGTCCTATGGTAGTAAAGGCAATATTTTCACAGAAAAACTAGACAGAAGCATTCTGCAAAACTTCCTCGTGATGTGTTCATTTATCTCACCAAATTGAACCATTCTTTTCCTTGAGCAGATTTGATACACTCTTTTTGTAGAATGTGCAAGTGAATATTTGGAACGCTTTGATGAGTTTGACGGAAAAGGAAATACCTTCACATATAAACGAGACAGAAGCATTCTGAGAAACTTCTTTCTGATATGTGCATTCAACTCACAGAGTTGAACCTTTCTTTTGATTCAGCAGTTTTGAAACACACTTTTTGAAGGATCTGTAAGTGGATATTTGGAGTGCTTAGGGGTCGATGCTAGAAAGGAAATATCTCCACATAAAAACTTGATGGAAGCATTCTGAGAAACTTCTTTGTGATGTGTGCATTCATCAGAGAGAGTTTAACATTTCTTTTGACTGAGCAGTTTTGAAACTCTCTTTTTGTAGAATCTGCAAGTGGACATTTGGAGCCACTTGAGGCCTATTGTGGAAAAGGGAATAAATGCACATAAAAGCTACACGGAAGCATTCTGACAAACTTCTTTGTGATGTGCACATTCATCTCACAGATTGAAAATTTCTTTTGATTGAGCAGTTTTGAAATGCTCTTTTCGGAGAATCAGCCAGTGGATATTTGGAGCACTTTGAGGACTATGGTGGAAAAGGAAATATCTTCACATAAAAACTAGAGGAAAACATTCTGAGAAACTTATTTGTGATGTGTGCATTCCTCTCACAGAGTTGAACATTTCTTTTGATTAAGCAGTTTTGAAACACCCTTTTGTGGAATCTGCTAGAGGATATTTGGAGCGCTTTGAGGCCTATGGAGGAAAAGGAAATATCTTCACTTAAAAACTAGACAGAAGCATTCTGAGAAACTTCTTTGTGATGTTTGCATTCATCTCACAGGGTTGAAATTTTCTTTCGATTGAGAAGTTTTGAGACACTCTTTTTGTAGAATCTGCCTGTGGATAATAGGAGCGCTGTGGGGCATATTTTGGAAAAGGAAATACCTTCACATAAATAGTAGACAGAAGCATTCTGAGAAACTTCTTTGTGACGTGTGCATATATATCACAGAGTTGAACCTTTCTTTTCATTTAGCCTTTTGAAACACTCTTTTTCTAGAATCTGCAAGTGAATATTTGGAGCGCTTTGCGGCCTATGGTGGAAAATAAATATCTTCACATAAAAACTAGACAGAAGCAATCTGAGAAACTACTTTGTGATGTGTGCATTCATCTCACAGAGTTGAACCTTTCTTTTGATTGAGCAGTTTTGAAACACTCTTTTTGTTGTATATGCAAGTGGATATTTGGAGCGATTTGTGGTCTATGGTGGAAAAGGAAATATCTTCACGTAAAAACTAGACAGAAGCACTCTGAGAAACTTCTTTGTGATGTGTGCATTCATCTCACCAAGCGGAACCATTCTTTTGATGGAGCTGTTTTGAAATACTCTTTTTGTAGAATCTGCAAGTGAATATTTGGAGTGCTTTCAGGCCTGTGGTGGAAAAGGAAATATCTTCACATAAAAACTAGACAGAAGCATTCGGAGAAACTTCTTTTTAGTGTGTGCATTCATCTCACAGTGTTGAAACTTTCTTTTGATTGAGGGTTTTGAAACAGTCTTTTTGATAAATCTGCAAGTGGATATTTGGAGCGAATTGTGGCCTATGGTTTAAAAGGAAATATCTTCACATAAAAGCTAGACAGAAGCTTTCTGAGAAACTTCTTTGTGATATGTGCGTTCATCTCACCGGGTTGAATCTTTCCTTTCATCGAGCAATATTGAAACACCCTTTTCTTTGAATCTGAAATAGATATTTGGAGCGATTGTGTCCTATGGTAGTAAAGGCAATATTTTCACAGAAAAACTAGACAGAAGCATTCTGCAAAACTTCCTCGTGATGTGTTCATTTATCTCACCAAATTGAACCATTCTTTTCCTTGAGCAGATTTGATACACTCTTTTTGTAGAATGTGCAAGTGAATATTTGGAACGCTTTGATGAGTTTGACGGAAAAGGAAATACCTTCACATATAAACGAGACAGAAGCATTCTGAGAAACTTCTTTCTGATATGTGCATTCAACTCACAGAGTTGAACCTTTCTTTTGATTCAGCAGTTTTGAAACACACTTTTTGAAGGATCTGTAAGTGGATATTTGGAGTGCTTAGGGGTCGATGCTAGAAAGGAAATATCTCCACATAAAAACTTGATGGAAGCATTCTGAGAAACTTCTTTGTGATGTGTGCATTCATCAGAGAGAGTTTAACATTTCTTTTGACTGAGCAGTTTTGAAACTCTCTTTTTGTAGAATCTGCAAGTGGACATTTGGAGCCACTTGAGGCCTATTGTGGAAAAGGGAATAAATGCACATAAAAGCTACACGGAAGCATTCTGACAAACTTCTTTGTGATGTGCACATTCATCTCACAGATTGAAAATTTCTTTTGATTGAGCAGTTTTGAAATGCTCTTTTCGGAGAATCAGCCAGTGGATATTTGGAGCACTTTGAGGACTATGGTGGAAAAGGAAATATCTTCACATAAAAACTAGAGGAAACATTCTGAGAAACTTATTTGTGATGTGTGCATTCCTCTCACAGAGTTGAACATTTCTTTTGATTAAGCAGTTTTGAAACACTCTTTTGTGGAATCTGCTAGAGGATATTTGGAGCGCTTTGAGGCCTATGGAGGAAAAGGAAATATCTTCACTTAAAAACTAGACAGAAGCATTCTGAGAAACTTCTTTGTGATGTTTGCATTCATCTCACAGGGTTGAAATTTTCTTTTGATTGAGAAGTTTTGAGACACTCTTTTTGTAGAATCTGCCTGTGGATAATAGGAGCGCTTTGGGGCATATTTTGGAAAAGGAAATACCTTCACATAAATAGTAGACAGAAGCATTCTGAGAAACTTCTTTGTGACGTGTGCATATATATCACAGAGTTGAACCTTTCTTTTCATTTAGCCTTTTGAAACACTCTTTTTCTAGAATCTGCAAGTGAATATTTGGAGCGCTTTGCGGCCTATGGTGGAAAATAAATATCTTCACATAAAAACTAGACAGAAGCATTCTGAGAAACTTCTCTGTGATAAGTGCCTTCATCTCATAGAGTTGAACCTTTCTTTTGATTGAGCAGTTTTGAAACACTCTTTTTGTTGTATATGCAAGTGGGTATTTGGAGCGATTTGTGGTCTATGGTGGAAAAGGAAATATCTTCACATAAAAACTAGAAGGAAACACTCTGAGAAACTTCTTTGTGATGTGTGCATTCATCTCACCAAGCTGAACCATTCTTTTGATGGAGCTGTTTTGAAATACTCTTTTTGTAGGATCTGCAAGTGGATATTTGGAGTGCTTTCAGGTCTGTGGTGGAAAAGGAAATATCTTCACATAAAAACTAGACAGAAGTATTCTGAGAAACTTCTTTGTAATGTGTGCATTCATCTCACAGTGTTGAAACTTTCTTTTGATTGAGGGTTTTGAAACAGTCTTTTTGATACAACTGCAAGTGGATATTTGGAGCGAATTGTGGCCTATGGTTTAAAAGGAAATATCTTCACATAAAAACTAGACAGAAGCCTTCTGAGAAACTTCTTTGTGATGTGTGCGTTCATCTCACTGGGTTGAATCTTTCCTTTCATCGAGCAGTATTGAAACACCCTTTTTGTAGAATCTGAAAGTAGATATTTGGAGCGATTGTGTCCTATGGTAGTAAAGGAAATATTTTCACAGAAAAACTAGACAGAAGCATTCTGCAAAACTTCCTCGTGTTGTGTTCACTTATGTCACCAAATTGAACCATTGTTTTCATTGAGCAGATTTGATACACTCTTTTTGTAGCATGTGCAAGTGAATATTTGGAACGCTTTGATGAGTATGACGGAAAAGGAAATACCTTCACATATAAACTAGACAGAAGCATTCTGAGAAACTTCTCTGTGATGTGTGCACTCATCTCACAGAGTTGAACCTTTCTTTTGATCGAGTAGTTTTGAAACACTCTTTTTGTACCATCTGCAAGTGTATATTTGGAGCGTTTTGCCTCCTATGGTGGAAAAGGAAATATCTTCACATAAAAACTAGACAGATGCATTCTGAGAAACTTCTTTGTGATATGTGCATTCATGTCACAGAGGTGAACTTCTAGTGTTTTGGACTCATCCAAGCCTCAACATTAGTTTTAAGGCTCCTTGTTCTTTCCAGCAGGAGAAAAATGAACATGCAAAGCTCTCAGGCTCATTGTTATAATCCTCTCAAGGATCAGTCTCATTAGCAGACAGCAGAGTCTTGATCCCTTGTTTCACCAAACTAACCACTTGGCTGAGAGAAGTTGCTCTTAGTCCTAGGGGAACTTCTCATAACCTTTGCAAGCTCTTCAAGTATTTGTGTATTTTCCCCTTTCAGAAAGTTGTGTTTATCTCAGCATCCCATTGTCATCTCCAAAATTAAATAATTGTGAAGGATCTAAGATTTCATCCTATTTGTAAACAAACCTATTAATCTTCCATTTTCATGGATGCTGGTAGAAGGCATAACGCACTGAAGTATGAAAACAAACCTACTATTTACTGTCTACCTGGAGGCAAAAGCCTCATTTTTGTATTAGTTCTCCTTGTCC
>NC_000020.11:28696226-28697758 GCF_000001405.40 Homo sapiens
AGCATTCGGAGAAACTTCTTTTTAGTGTGTGCATTCATCTCACAGTGTTGAAACTTTCTTTTGATTGAGGGTTTTGAAACAGTCTTTTTGATAAATCTGCAAGTGGATATTTGGAGCGAATTGTGGCCTATGGTTTAAAAGGAAATATCTTCACATAAAAGCTAGACAGAAGCTTTCTGAGAAACTTCTTTGTGATATGTGCGTTCATCTCACCGGGTTGAATCTTTCCTTTCATCGAGCAATATTGAAACACCCTTTTTTTTGAATCTGAAATAGATATTTGGAGCGATTGTGTCCTATGGTAGTAAAGGCAATATTTTCACAGAAAAACTAGACAGAAGCATTCTGCAAAACTTCCTCGTGATGTGTTCATTTATCTCACCAAATTGAACCATTCTTTTCCTTGAGCAGATTTGATACACTCTTTTTGTAGAATGTGCAAGTGAATATTTGGAACGCTTTGATGAGTTTGACGGAAAAGGAAATACCTTCACATATAAACGAGACAGAAGCATTCTGAGAAACTTCTTTCTGATATGTGCATTCAACTCACAGAGTTGAACCTTTCTTTTGATTCAGCAGTTTTGAAACACACTTTTTGAAGGATCTGTAAGTGGATATTTGGAGTGCTTAGGGGTCGATGCTAGAAAGGAAATATCTCCACATAAAAACTTGATGGAAGCATTCTGAGAAACTTCTTTGTGATGTGTGCATTCATCAGAGAGAGTTTAACATTTCTTTTGACTGAGCAGTTTTGAAACTCTCTTTTTGTAGAATCTGCAAGTGGACATTTGGAGCCACTTGAGGCCTATTGTGGAAAAGGGAATAAATTCACATAAAAGCTACACGGAAGCATTCTGACAAACTTCTTTGTGATGTGCACATTCATCTCACAGATTGAAAATTTCTTTTGATTGAGCAGTTTTGAAATGCTCTTTTCGGAGAATCAGCCAGTGGATATTTGGAGCACTTTGAGGACTATGGTGGAAAAGGAAATATCTTCACATAAAAACTAGAGGAAACATTCTGAGAAACTTATTTGTGATGTGTGCATTCCTCTCACAGAGTTGAACATTTCTTTTGATTAAGCAGTTTTGAAACACCCTTTTGTGGAATCTGCTAGAGGATATTTGGAGCGCTTTGAGGCCTATGGAGGAAAAGGAAATATCTTCACTTAAAAACTAGACAGATCTGTCTAGTTTTTATGTGAAGATAGTTCCTTTTCCACAATAGGCCCCAAAACGCTCCAAATATCCCCTTGCAAACACTACAAAAGATTTTTTAAAAACTGCTAAATCTTCTTAATCCAGTCTATATGCACCATGGAATACTATGCAGCCATAAAAAATGATGAGTTCATATCCTTTTTAGGGACATGGATGAAATTGGAAGTCATCATTCTCAGTAAACTATCGCAAAACAAAAAACCAAACACCGCATATTCTCACTCATAGGTGGGAATTGAAAAATGAGATCACATGGACACAGGAAGGGGAACATCACACTCTGGGGATGTTTGTGGGGTGGGAGGA
>NC_000020.11:28697858-28719061 GCF_000001405.40 Homo sapiens
AGCATTCTGAGAAACTTTTGGTGATCTGTGCATTCAACTCACAGATTTGAACCTTTCTTTTGATTGAACAGTTTTGAAACACTCTTTTTGTAGTATCTGTAAATGGATATTTGAAGCGGTTTGAGGTCTATCTTGGAAAAGGAAATATCTTCACATATAAACTAGACAGAAGCATTCTGAGAAACTTCTCTGTGATAAGTGCCTTCATCTCACAGAGTTGAACCTTTCTTTTGATTGAGCAGTTTTGAAACACTCTTTTTGTTGTATATGCAAGTGGCTATTTGGAGCGATTTGTGGTCTGTGGTGGAAAAGGAAATATCTTCACATAAAAACTAGACAGAAACACTCTGAGAAACTTCTTTGTGATGTGTGCATTCATCTCACCAAGATGAACCATTCTTTTGATGGAGCTGTTTTGAAATACTCTTTTTGTAGAATCTGCAAGTGGATATTTGGAGTGCTTTCAGGTCTGTGGTGGAAAAGGAAATATCTTCACATAAAAACTAGACAGAAGCATTCGGAGAAACTTCTTTTTAGTGTGTGCATTCATCTCACAGTGTTGAAACTTTCTTTTGATTGAGGGTTTTGAAACAGTCTTTTTGATAAATCTGCAAGTGGATATTTGGAGCGAATTGTGGCCTATGGTTTAAAAGGAAATATCTTCACATAAAAGCTAGACAGAAGCTTTCTGAGAAACTTCTTTGTGATATGTGCGTTCATCTCACCGGGTTGAATCTTTCCTTTCATCGAGCAATATTGAAACACCCTTTTCTTTGAATCTGAAATAGATATTTGGAGCGATTGTGTCCTATGGTAGTAAAGGCAATATTTTCACAGAAAAACTAGACAGAAGCATTCTGCAAAACTTCCTCGTGATGTGTTCATTTATCTCACCAAATTGAACCATTCTTTTCCTTGAGCAGATTTGATACACTCTTTTTGTAGAATGTGCAAGTGAATATTTGGAACGCTTTGATGAGTTTGACGGAAAAGGAAATACCTTCACATATAAACGAGACAGAAGCATTCTGAGAAACTTCTTTCTGATATGTGCATTCAACTCACAGAGTTGAACCTTTCTTTTGATTCAGCAGTTTTGAAACACACTTTTTGAAGGATCTGTAAGTGGATATTTGGAGTGCTTAGGGGTCGATGCTAGAAAGGAAATATCTCCACATAAAAACTTGATGGAAGCATTCTGAGAAACTTCTTTGTGATGTGTGCATTCATCAGAGAGAGTTTAACATTTCTTTTGACTGAGCAATTTTGAAACTCTCTTTTTGTAGAATCTGCAAGTGGACATTTGGAGCCACTTGAGGCCTATTGTGGAAAAGGGAATAAATGCACATAAAAGCTACACGGAAGCATTCTGACAAACTTCTTTGTGATGTGCACATTCATCTCACAGATTGAAAATTTCTTTTGATTGAGCAGTTTTGAAATGCTCTTTTCGGAGAATCAGCCAGTGGATATTTGGAGCACTTTGAGGACTATGGTGGAAAAGGAAATATCTTCACATAAAAACTAGAGGAAACATTCTGAGAAACTTATTTGTGATGTGTGCATTCCTCTCACAGAGTTGAACATTTCTTTTGATTAAGCAGTTTTGAAACACTCTTTTGTGGAATCTGCTAGAGGATATTTGGAGCGCTTTGAGGCCTATGGAGGAAAAGGAAATATCTTCACTTAAAAACTAGACAGAAGCATTCTGAGAAACTTCTTTGTGATGTTTGCATTCATCTCACAGGGTTGAAATTTTCTTTCGATTGAGAAGTTTTGAGACACTCTTTTTGTAGAATCTGCCTGTGGATAATAGGAGCGCTTTGGGGCATATTTTGGAAAAGGAAATACCTTCACATAAATAGTAGACAGAAGCATTCTGAGAAACTTCTTTGTGACGTGTGCATATATATCACAGAGTTGAACCTTTCTTTTCATTTAGCCTTTTGAAACACTCTTTTTCTAGAATCTGCAAGTGAATATTTGGAGCGCTTTGCGGCCTATGGTGGAAAATAAATATCTTCACATAAAAACTAGACAGAAGCAATCTGAGAAACTACTTTGTGATGTGTGCATTCATCTCACAGAGTTGAACCTTTCTTTTGATTGAGCAGTTTTGAAACACTCTTTTTGTTGTATATGCAAGTGGATATTTGGAGCGATTTGTGGTCTATGGTGGAAAAGGAAATATCTTCACGTAAAAACTAGACAGAAGCACTCTGAGAAACTTCTTTGTGATGTGTGCATTCATCTCACCAAGCGGAACCATTCTTTTGATGGAGCTGTTTTGAAATACTCTTTTTGTAGAATCTGCAAGTGAATATTTGGAGTGCTTTCAGGCCTGTGGTGGAAAAGGAAATATCTTCACATAAAAACTAGACAGAAGCATTCGGAGAAACTTCTTTTTAGTGTGTGCATTCATCTCACAGTGTTGAAACTTTCTTTTGATTGAGGGTTTTGAAACAGTCTTTTTGATAAATCTGCAAGTGGATATTTGGAGCGAATTGTGGCCTATGGTTTAAAAGGAAATATCTTCACATAAAAGCTAGACAGAAGCTTTCTGAGAAACTTCTTTGTGATATGTGCGTTCATCTCACCGGGTTGAATCTTTCCTTTCATCGAGCAATATTGAAACACCCTTTTTTTTGAATCTGAAATAGATATTTGGAGCGATTGTGTCCTATGGTAGTAAAGGCAATATTTTCACAGAAAAACTAGACAGAAGCATTCTGCAAAACTTCCTCGTGATGTGTTCATTTATCTCACCAAATTGAACCATTCTTTTCCTTGAGCAGATTTGATACACTCTTTTTGTAGAATGTGCAAGTGAATATTTGGAACGCTTTGATGAGTTTGACGGAAAAGGAAATACCTTCACATATAAACGAGACAGAAGCATTCTGAGAAACTTCTTTCTGATATGTGCATTCAACTCACAGAGTTGAACCTTTCTTTTGATTCAGCAGTTTTGAAACACACTTTTTGAAGGATCTGTAAGTGGATATTTGGAGTGCTTAGGGGTCGATGCTAGAAAGGAAATATCTCCACATAAAAACTTGATGGAAGCATTCTGAGAAACTTCTTTGTGATGTGTGCATTCATCAGAGAGAGTTTAACATTTCTTTTGACTGAGCAGTTTTGAAACTCTCTTTTTGTAGAATCTGCAAGTGGACATTTGGAGCCACTTGAGGCCTATTGTGGAAAAGGGAATAAATGCACATAAAAGCTACACGGAAGCATTCTGACAAACTTCTTTGTGATGTGCACATTCATCTCACAGATTGAAAATTTCTTTTGATTGAGCAGTTTTGAAATGCTCTTTTCGGAGAATCAGCCAGTGGATATTTGGAGCACTTTGAGGACTATGGTGGAAAAGGAAATATCTTCACATAAAAACTAGAGGAAACATTCTGAGAAACTTATTTGTGATGTGTGCATTCCTCTCACAGAGTTGAACATTTCTTTTGATTAAGCAGTTTTGAAACACCCTTTTGTGGAATCTGCTAGAGGATATTTGGAGCGCTTTGAGGCCTATGGAGGAAAAGGAAATATCTTCACTTAAAAACTAGACAGAAGCATTCTGAGAGACTTCTTTGTGATGTTTGCATTCATCTCACAGGGTTGAAATTTTCTTTTGATTGAGAAGTTTTGAGACACTCTTTTTGTAGAATCTGCCTGTGGATAATAGGAGCGCTTTGGGGCATATTTTGGAAAAGGAAATACCTTCACATAAATAGTAGACAGAAGCATTCTGAGAAACTTCTTTGTGACGTGTGCATATATATCACAGAGTTGAACCTTTCTTTTCATTTAGCCTTTTGAAACACTCTTTTTCTAGAATCTGCAAGTGAATATTTGGAGCGCTTTGCGGCCTATGGTGGAAAATAAATATCTTCACATAAAAACTAGACAGAAGCAATCTGAGAAACTACTTTGTGATGTGTGCATTCATCTCACAGAGGTGAACCTTTCTTTTGATTGAGCAGTTTTGAAACACTCTTTTTGTTGTATATGCAAGTGGATATTTGGAGCGATTTGTGGTCTATGGTGGAAAAGGAAATATCTTCACGTAAAAACTAGACAGAAGCACTCTGAGAAACTTCTTTGTGATGTGTGCATTCATCTCACCAAGCGGAACCATTCTTTTGATGGAGCTGTTTTGAAATACTCTTTTTGTAGAATCTGCAAGTGAATATTTGGAGTGCTTTCAGGCCTGTGGTGGAAAAGGGAATATCTTCACATAAAAACTAGACAGAAGCATTCGGAGAAACTTCTTTTTAGTGTGTGCATTCATCTCACAGTGTTGAAACTTTCTTTTGATTGAGGGTTTTGAAACAGTCTTTTTGATAAATCTGCAAGTGGATATTTGGAGCGAATTGTGGCCTATGGTTTAAAAGGAAATATCTTCACATAAAAGCTAGACAGAAGCTTTCTGAGAAACTTCTTTGTGATATGTGCGTTCATCTCACCGGGTTGAATCTTTCCTTTCATCGAGCAATATTGAAACACCCTTTTTTTTGAATCTGAAATAGATATTTGGAGCGATTGTGTCCTATGGTAGTAAAGGCAATATTTTCACAGAAAAACTAGACAGAAGCATTCTGCAAAACTTCCTCGTGATGTGTTCATTTATCTCACCAAATTGAACCATTCTTTTCCTTGAGCAGATTTGATACACTCTTTTTGTAGAATGTGCAAGTGAATATTTGGAACGCTTTGATGAGTTTGACGGAAAAGGAAATACCTTCACATATAAACGAGACAGAAGCATTCTGAGAAACTTCTTTCTGATATGTGCATTCAACTCACAGAGTTGAACCTTTCTTTTGATTCAGCAGTTTTGAAACACACTTTTTGAAGGATCTGTAAGTGGATATTTGGAGTGCTTAGGGGTCGATGCTAGAAAGGAAATATCTCCACATAAAAACTTGATGGAAGCATTCTGAGAAACTTCTTTGTGATGTGTGCATTCATCAGAGAGAGTTTAACATTTCTTTTGACTGAGCAGTTTTGAAACTCTCTTTTTGTAGAATCTGCAAGTGGACATTTGGAGCCACTTGAGGCCTATTGTGGAAAAGGGAATAAATGCACATAAAAGCTACACGGAAGCATTCTGACAAACTTCTTTGTGATGTGCACATTCATCTCACAGATTGAAAATTTCTTTTGATTGAGCAGTTTTGAAATGCTCTTTTCGGAGAATCAGCCAGTGGATATTTGGAGCACTTTGAGGACTATGGTGGAAAAGGAAATATCTTCACATAAAAACTAGAGGAAACATTCTGAGAAACTTATTTGTGATGTGTGCATTCCTCTCACAGAGTTGAACATTTCTTTTGATTAAGCAGTTTTGAAACACTCTTTTGTGGAATCTGCTAGAGGATATTTGGAGCGCTTTGAGGCCTATGGAGGAAAAGGAAATATCTTCACTTAAAAACTAGACAGAAGCATTCTGAGACACTTCTTTGTGATGTTTGCATTCATCTCACAGGGTTGAAATTTTCTTTTGATTGAGAAGTTTTGAGACACTCTTTTTGTAGAATCTGCCTGTGGATAATAGGAGCGCTTTGGGGCATATTTTGGAAAAGGAAATACCTTCACATAAATAGTAGACAGAAGCATTCTGAGAAACTTCTTTGTGACGTGTGCATATATATCACAGAGTTGAACCTTTCTTTTCATTTAGCCTTTTGAAACACTCTTTTTCTAGAATCTGCAAGTGAATATTTGGAGCGCTTTGCGGCCTATGGTGGAAAATAAATATCTTCACATAAAAACTAGACAGAAGCAATCTGAGAAACTACTTTGTGATGTGTGCATTCATCTCACAGAGTTGAACCTTTCTTTTGATTGAGCTTTTTTGAAACACTCTTTTTGTATAATCTGCAAGTGGATATTTGGAGCGCTTTGAGGCTTATGGTGGAAAATGAAACATATTCACGTAAAAACTAGACAGCAACACTCTGAGAAACTTCTTTGTGATGTGTGCATTCATCTCACCAAGTTGAACCATTCTTTTGATGGAGCTGTTTTGAAATACTCTTTTTGTAGGATCTGCAAGTGGATATTTGGAGTGCTTTCAGGTTCTGTGGTGGAAAAGGAAATATCTTCACATAAAAACTAGACAGAAGCATTCTGAGAAACTTCTCTGTGATAAGTGCCTTCATCTCACAGAGTTGAACCTTTCTTTTGATTGAGCAGTTTTGAAACACTCTTTTTGTTGTATATGCAAGTGGGTATTTGGAGCGATTTGTGGTCTCTGGTGGAAAAGGAAATATCTTCACATAAAAACTAGACAGAAGCACTCTGAGAAACTTCTTTGTGATGTGTGCATTCATCTCACAGTGTTGAAACTTTCTTTTGATTGAGGGTTTTGAAACAGTCTTTTTGATGAATCTGCAAGTGGATATTTGGAGCGAATTGTGGCCTATGGTGTAAAAGGAAATATCTTCACATAAAAACTAGACAGAAGCCTTCTGAGAAACTTCTTTGTGATGTGTGCGTTCATCTCACCAGGTTGAATCTTTCCTTTCATCGAGCAGTATTGAAACACCCTTTTTGTAGAATCTGAAAGTAGATATTTGGAGCGATTGTGTCCTATGGTAGTAAAGGCAATATTTTCACAGAAAAACTAGACAGAAGCATTCTGCGAAACTTCCTCATGATGTGTTCATTTATCTCACCAAATTGAACCATTCTTTTCACTGAGCAGATTTGATACACTCTTTTTGTAGAATGTGCAAGTGAATATTTGGAACGCTTTGATGAGTATGATGGAAAAGGAAATACCTTCACATATAAACTAGATAGAAGCATTCTGAGAAACTTTTCTCTGATATGTGCATTCAACTCACAGAGTTGAACCTTTCTTTTGATTCAGCAGTTTTGAAACATGCTTTTTGAAGAATCTATAAGTGGATATTTGGAGTGCTTAGGGGCCGATGGCGGAAAAGGAAATATCTCCACATAAAAACTAGATGGAAGCATTCTGAGAAACTTCTTTGTGATGTGTGCATTCATCAGAGAGAGTTTAACCTTTCTTTTGACTGAGCAGTTTTGAAACTCTCTTTTTGTAGAATCTGCAAGTGGACTTTTGGAGACACTTGAGGCCTATTGTGGAAAATGGAATATCTTCACATAAAAGCTACACAGAAGCATTCTGAGAAACTTCTTTGTGATGTGCACATTCATCTCACAGATTTGAAAATTTCTTTTGATTGAGCAGTTTTGAAATGCTCTTTTTGGAGAATCGGCCAGTGGATATTTGGAGCGCTTTGAGGACTATGGTGGAAAAGGAAATATCTTCACATAAAAACTAGAGGAAACATTCTGAGAAACTTATTTGTGATGTGTGCATTCCTCCCACAGAGTTGAACATTTCTTTTGATTAAGCAGTTTTGAAACACTCTTTTGTGGAATCTGCTAGAGGATATTTGGAGCGCTTTGAGGCCTATGGAGGAAAAGGAAATATCTTCACTTAAAAACTAGACAGAAGCATTCTGAGAAACTTCTTTGTGATGTTTGCATTCATCTCACAGGGTTGAAATTTTCTTTTGATTGAGAAGTTTTGAGACACTCTTTTTGTAGAATCTGCCTGTGGATAATAGGAGCGCTTTGGGGCATATTTTGGAAAAGGAAATACCTTCACATAAATAGTAGACAGAAGCATTCTGAGAAACTTCTTTGTGACGTGTGCATATATATCACAGAGTTGAACCTTTCTTTTCATTTAGCCTTTTGAAACACTCTTTTTCTAGAATCTGCAAGTGAATATTTGGAGCGCTTTGCGGCCTATGGTGGAAAATAAATATCTTCACATAAAAACTAGACAGAAGCAATCTGAGAAACTACTTTGTGATGTGTGCATTCATCTCACAGAGTTGAACCTTTCTTTTGATTGAGCAGTTTTGAAACACTCTTTTTGTTGTATATGCAAGTGGATATTTGGAGCGATTTGTGGTCTATGGTGGAAAAGGAAATATCTTCACGTAAAAACTAGACAGAAGCACTCTGAGAAACTTCTTTGTGATGTGTGCATTCATCTCACCAAGCGGAACCATTCTTTTGATGGAGCTGTTTTGAAATACTCTTTTTGTAGAATCTGCAAGTGAATATTTGGAGTGCTTTCAGGCCTGTGGTGGAAAAGGAAATATCTTCACATAAAAACTAGACAGAAGCATTCGGAGAAACTTCTTTTTAGTGTGTGCATTCATCTCACAGTGTTGAAACTTTCTTTTGATTGAGGGTTTTGAAACAGTCTTTTTGATAAATCTGCAAGTGGATATTTGGAGCGAATTGTGGCCTATGGTTTAAAAGGAAATATCTTCACATAAAAGCTAGACAGAAGCTTTCTGAGAAACTTCTTTGTGATATGTGCGTTCATCTCACCGGGTTGAATCTTTCCTTTCATCGAGCAATATTGAAACACCCTTTTTTTTGAATCTGAAATAGATATTTGGAGCGATTGTGTCCTATGGTAGTAAAGGCAATATTTTCACAGAAAAACTAGACAGAAGCATTCTGCAAAACTTCCTCGTGATGTGTTCATTTATCTCACCAAATTGAACCATTCTTTTCCTTGAGCAGATTTGATACACTCTTTTTGTAGAATGTGCAAGTGAATATTTGGAACGCTTTGATGAGTTTGACGGAAAAGGAAATACCTTCACATATAAACGAGACAGAAGCATTCTGAGAAACTTCTTTCTGATATGTGCATTCAACTCACAGAGTTGAACCTTTCTTTTGATTCAGCAGTTTTGAAACACACTTTTTGAAGGATCTGTAAGTGGATATTTGGAGTGCTTAGGGGTCGATGCTAGAAAGGAAATATCTCCACATAAAAACTTGATGGAAGCATTCTGAGAAACTTCTTTGTGATGTGTGCATTCATCAGAGAGAGTTTAACATTTCTTTTGACTGAGCAGTTTTGAAACTCTCTTTTTGTAGAATCTGCAAGTGGACATTTGGAGCCACTTGAGGCCTATTGTGGAAAAGGGAATAAATGCACATAAAAGCTACACGGAAGCATTCTGACAAACTTCTTTGTGATGTGCACATTCATCTCACAGATTGAAAATTTCTTTTGATTGAGCAGTTTTGAAATGCTCTTTTCGGAGAATCAGCCAGTGGATATTTGGAGCACTTTGAGGACTATGGTGGAAAAGGAAATATCTTCACATAAAAACTAGAGGAAACATTCTGAGAAACTTATTTGTGATGTGTGCATTCCTCTCACAGAGTTGAACATTTCTTTTGATTAAGCAGTTTTGAAACACCCTTTTGTGGAATCTGCTAGAGGATATTTGGAGCGCTTTGAGGCCTATGGAGGAAAAGGAAATATCTTCACTTAAAAACTAGACAGAAGCATTCTGAGAAACTTCTTTGTGATGTTTGCATTCATCTCACAGGGTTGAAATTTTCTTTTGATTGAGAAGTTTTGAGACACTCTTTTTGTAGAATCTGCCTGTGGATAATAGGAGCGCTTTGGGGCATATTTTGGAAAAGGAAATACCTTCACATAAATAGTAGACAGAAGCATTCTGAGAAACTTCTTTGTGACGTGTGCATATATATCACAGAGTTGAACCTTTCTTTTCATTTAGCCTTTTGAAACACTCTTTTTCTAGAATCTGCAAGTGAATATTTGGAGCGCTTTGCGGCCTATGGTGGAAAATAAATATCTTCACATAAAAACTAGACAGAAGCAATCTGAGAAACTACTTTGTGATGTGTGCATTCATCTCACAGAGTTGAACCTTTCTTTTGATTGAGCAGTTTTGAAACACTCTTTTTGTTGTATATGCAAGTGGATATTTGGAGCGATTTGTGGTCTATGGTGGAAAAGGAAATATCTTCACGTAAAAACTAGACAGAAGCACTCTGAGAAACTTCTTTGTGATGTGTGCATTCATCTCACCAAGCGGAACCATTCTTTTGATGGAGCTGTTTTGAAATACTCTTTTTGTAGAATCTGCAAGTGAATATTTGGAGTGCTTTCAGGCCTGTGGTGGAAAAGGAAATATCTTCACATAAAAACTAGACAGAAGCATTCGGAGAAACTTCTTTTTAGTGTGTGCATTCATCTCACAGTGTTGAAACTTTCTTTTGATTGAGGGTTTTGAAACAGTCTTTTTGATAAATCTGCAAGTGGATATTTGGAGCGAATTGTGGCCTATGGTTTAAAAGGAAATATCTTCACATAAAAGCTAGACAGAAGCTTTCTGAGAAACTTCTTTGTGATATGTGCGTTCATCTCACCGGGTTGAATCTTTCCTTTCATCGAGCAATATTGAAACACCCTTTTTTTTGAATCTGAAATAGATATTTGGAGCGATTGTGTCCTATGGTAGTAAAGGCAATATTTTCACAGAAAAACTAGACAGAAGCATTCTGCAAAACTTCCTCGTGATGTGTTCATTTATCTCACCAAATTGAACCATTCTTTTCCTTGAGCAGATTTGATACACTCTTTTTGTAGAATGTGCAAGTGAATATTTGGAACGCTTTGATGAGTTTGACGGAAAAGGAAATACCTTCACATATAAACGAGACAGAAGCATTCTGAGAAACTTCTTTCTGATATGTGCATTCAACTCACAGAGTTGAACCTTTCTTTTGATTCAGCAGTTTTGAAACACACTTTTTGAAGGATCTGTAAGTGGATATTTGGAGTGCTTAGGGGTCGATGCTAGAAAGGAAATATCTCCACATAAAAACTTGATGGAAGCATTCTGAGAAACTTCTTTGTGATGTGTGCATTCATCAGAGAGAGTTTAACATTTCTTTTGACTGAGCAGTTTTGAAACTCTCTTTTTGTAGAATCTGCAAGTGGACATTTGGAGCCACTTGAGGCCTATTGTGGAAAAGGGAATAAATGCACATAAAAGCTACACGGAAGCATTCTGACAAACTTCTTTGTGATGTGCACATTCATCTCACAGATTGAAAATTTCTTTTGATTGAGCAGTTTTGAAATGCTCTTTTCGGAGAATCAGCCAGTGGATATTTGGAGCACTTTGAGGACTATGGTGGAAAAGGAAATATCTTCACATAAAAACTAGAGGAAACATTCTGAGAAACTTATTTGTGATGTGTGCATTCCTCTCACAGAGTTGAACATTTCTTTTGATTAAGCAGTTTTGAAACACCCTTTTGTGGAATCTGCTAGAGGATATTTGGAGCGCTTTGAGGCCTATGGAGGAAAAGGAAATATCTTCACTTAAAAACTAGACAGAAGCATTCTGAGAAACTTCTTTGTGATGTTTGCATTCATCTCACAGGGTTGAAATTTTCTTTTGATTGAGAAGTTTTGAGACACTCTTTTTGTAGAATCTGCCTGTGGATAATAGGAGCGCTTTGGGGCATATTTTGGAAAAGGAAATACCTTCACATAAATAGTAGACAGAAGCATTCTGAGAAACTTCTTTGTGACGTGTGCATATATATCACAGAGTTGAACCTTTCTTTTCATTTAGCCTTTTGAAACACTCTTTTTCTAGAATCTGCAAGTGAATATTTGGAGCGCTTTGCGGCCTATGGTGGAAAATAAATATCTTCACATAAAAACTAGACAGAAGCATTCTGATAAACTTCTTTGTAATGTGTGCATTCATCTCACAGAGTTGAACCTTTCTTTTGATTGAGCTGTTTTGAAACACTCTTTTTGAGGAATCTGCAAGTGGATATTTAGAGCGCTTTGAGGCGTATGGTGGAAAATGAAACATCTTCACATAAAAACTAGACAGCAGCACTCTGAGAAACTTCTTTGTGATGTGTGCATTCATCTCACCAAGCGGAACCATTCTTTTGATGGAGCTGTTTTGAAATACTCTTTTTGTAGAATCTGCAAGTGAATATTTGGAGTGCTTTCAGGCCTGTGGTGGAAAAGGGAATATCTTCACATAAAAACTAGACAGAAGCATTCGGAGAAACTTCTTTTTAGTGTGTGCATTCATCTCACAGTGTTGAAACTTTCTTTTGATTGAGGGTTTTGAAACAGTCTTTTTGATAAATCTGCAAGTGGATATTTGGAGCGAATTGTGGCCTATGGTTTAAAAGGAAATATCTTCACATAAAAGCTAGACAGAAGCTTTCTGAGAAACTTCTTTGTGATATGTGCGTTCATCTCACCGGGTTGAATCTTTCCTTTCATCGAGCAATATTGAAACACCCTTTTTTTTGAATCTGAAATAGATATTTGGAGCGATTGTGTCCTATGGTAGTAAAGGCAATATTTTCACAGAAAAACTAGACAGAAGCATTCTGCAAAACTTCCTCGTGATGTGTTCATTTATCTCACCAAATTGAACCATTCTTTTCCTTGAGCAGATTTGATACACTCTTTTTGTAGAATGTGCAAGTGAATATTTGGAACGCTTTGATGAGTTTGACGGAAAAGGAAATACCTTCACATATAAACGAGACAGAAGCATTCTGAGAAACTTCTTTCTGATATGTGCATTCAACTCACAGAGTTGAACCTTTCTTTTGATTCAGCAGTTTTGAAACACACTTTTTGAAGGATCTGTAAGTGGATATTTGGAGTGCTTAGGGGTCGATGCTAGAAAGGAAATATCTCCACATAAAAACTTGATGGAAGCATTCTGAGAAACTTCTTTGTGATGTGTGCATTCATCAGAGAGAGTTTAACATTTCTTTTGACTGAGCAGTTTTGAAACTCTCTTTTTGTAGAATCTGCAAGTGGACATTTGGAGCCACTTGAGGCCTATTGTGGAAAAGGGAATAAATGCACATAAAAGCTACACGGAAGCATTCTGACAAACTTCTTTGTGATGTGCACATTCATCTCACAGATTGAAAATTTCTTTTGATTGAGCAGTTTTGAAATGCTCTTTTCGGAGAATCAGCCAGTGGATATTTGGAGCACTTTGAGGACTATGGTGGAAAAGGAAATATCTTCACATAAAAACTAGAGGAAACATTCTGAGAAACTTATTTGTGATGTGTGCATTCCTCTCACAGAGTTGAACATTTCTTTTGATTAAGCAGTTTTGAAACACCCTTTTGTGGAATCTGCTAGAGGATATTTGGAGCGCTTTGAGGCCTATGGAGGAAAAGGAAATATCTTCACTTAAAAACTAGACAGAAGCATTCTGAGAAACTTCTTTGTGATGTTTGCATTCATCTCACAGGGTTGAAATTTTCTTTTGATTGAGAAGTTTTGAGACACTCTTTTTGTAGAATCTGCCTGTGGATAATAGGAGCGCTGTGGGGCATATTTTGGAAAAGGAAATACCTTCACATAAATAGTAGACAGAAGCATTCTGAGAAAGTTCTTTGTGACGTGTGCATATATATCACAGAGTTGAACCTTTCTTTTCATTTAGCCTTTTGAAACACTCTTTTTCTAGAATCTGCAAGTGAATATTTGGAGCGCTTTGCGGCCTATGGTGGAAAATAAATATCTTCACATAAAAACTAGACAGAAGCAATCTGAGAAACTACTTTGTGATGTGTGCATTCATCTCACAGAGGTGAACCTTTCTTTTGATTGAGCAGTTTTGAAACACTCTTTTTGTTGTATATGCAAGTGGATATTTGGAGCGATTTGTGGTCTATGGTGGAAAAGGAAATATCTTCACGTAAAAACTAGACAGAAGCACTCTGAGAAACTTCTTTGTGATGTGTGCATTCATCTCACCAAGCGGAACCATTCTTTTGATGGAGCTGTTTTGAAATACTCTTTTTGTAGAATCTGCAAGTGAATATTTGGAGTGCTTTCAGGCCTGTGGTGGAAAAGGGAATATCTTCACATAAAAACTAGACAGAAGCATTCGGAGAAACTTCTTTTTAGTGTGTGCATTCATCTCACAGTGTTGAAACTTTCTTTTGATTGAGGGTTTTGAAACAGTCTTTTTGATAAATCTGCAAGTGGATATTTGGAGCGAATTGTGGCCTATGGTTTAAAAGGAAATATCTTCACATAAAAGCTAGACAGAAGCTTTCTGAGAAACTTCTTTGTGATATGTGCGTTCATCTCACCGGGTTGAATCTTTCCTTTCATCGAGCAATATTGAAACACCCTTTTTTTTGAATCTGAAATAGATATTTGGAGCGATTGTGTCCTATGGTAGTAAAGGCAATATTTTCACAGAAAAACTAGACAGAAGCATTCTGCAAAACTTCCTCGTGATGTGTTCATTTATCTCACCAAATTGAACCATTCTTTTCCTTGAGCAGATTTGATACACTCTTTTTGTAGAATGTGCAAGTGAATATTTGGAACGCTTTGATGAGTTTGACGGAAAAGGAAATACCTTCACATATAAACGAGACAGAAGCATTCTGAGAAACTTCTTTCTGATATGTGCATTCAACTCACAGAGTTGAACCTTTCTTTTGATTCAGCAGTTTTGAAACACACTTTTTGAAGGATCTGTAAGTGGATATTTGGAGTGCTTAGGGGTCGATGCTAGAAAGGAAATATCTCCACATAAAAACTTGATGGAAGCATTCTGAGAAACTTCTTTGTGATGTGTGCATTCATCAGAGAGAGTTTAACATTTCTTTTGACTGAGCAGTTTTGAAACTCTCTTTTTGTAGAATCTGCAAGTGGACATTTGGAGCCACTTGAGGCCTATTGTGGAAAAGGGAATAAATTCACATAAAAGCTACACGGAAGCATTCTGACAAACTTCTTTGTGATGTGCACATTCATCTCACAGATTGAAAATTTCTTTTGATTGAGCAGTTTTGAAATGCTCTTTTCGGAGAATCAGCCAGTGGATATTTGGAGCACTTTGAGGACTATGGTGGAAAAGGAAATATCTTCACATAAAAACTAGAGGAAACATTCTGAGAAACTTATTTGTGATGTGTGCATTCCTCTCACAGAGTTGAACATTTCTTTTGATTAAGCAGTTTTGAAACACCCTTTTGTGGAATCTGCTAGAGGATATTTGGAGCGCTTTGAGGCCTATGGAGGAAAAGGAAATATCTTCACTTAAAAACTAGACAGAAGCATTCTGAGAAACTTCTTTGTGATGTTTGCATTCATCTCACAGGGTTGAAATTTTCTTTTGATTGAGAAGTTTTGAGACACTCTTTTTGTAGAATCTGCCTGTGGATAATAGGAGCGCTTTGGGGCATATTTTGGAAAAGGAAATACCTTCACATAAATAGTAGACAGAAGCATTCTGAGAAACTTCTTTGTGACGTGTGCATATATATCACAGAGTTGAACCTTTCTTTTCATTTAGCCTTTTGAAACACTCTTTTTCTAGAATCTGCAAGTGAATATTTGGAGCGCTTTGCGGCCTATGGTGGAAAATAAATATCTTCACATAAAAACTAGACAGAAGCAATCTGAGAAACTACTTTGTGATGTGTGCATTCATCTCACAGAGTTGAACCTTTCTTTTGATTGAGCAGTTTTGAAACACTCTTTTTGTTGTATATGCAAGTGGATATTTGGAGCGATTTGTGGTCTATGGTGGAAAAGGAAATATCTTCACGTAAAAACTAGACAGAAGCACTCTGAGAAACTTCTTTGTGATGTGTGCATTCATCTCACCAAGCGGAACCATTCTTTTGATGGAGCTGTTTTGAAATACTCTTTTTGTAGAATCTGCAAGTGAATATTTGGAGTGCTTTCAGGCCTGTGGTGGAAAAGGAAATATCTTCACATAAAAACTAGACAGAAGCACTCTGAGAAACTTCTTTGTGATGTGTGCATTCATCTCACAGTGTTGAAACTTTCTTTTGATTGAGGGTTTTGAAACAGTCTTTTTGATGAATCTGCAAGTGGATATTTGGAGCGAATTGTGGCCTATGGTGTAAAAGGAAATATCTTCACATAAAAACTAGACAGAAGCCTTCTGAGAAACTTCTTTGTGATGTGTGCGTTCATCTCACCAGGTTGAATCTTTCCTTTCATCGAGCAGTATTGAAACACCCTTTTTGTAGAATCTGAAAGTAGATATTTGGAGCGATTGTGTCCTATGGTAGTAAAGGCAATATTTTCACAGAAAAACTAGACAGAAGCATTCTGCGAAACTTCCTCATGATGTGTTCATTTATCTCACCAAATTGAACCATTCTTTTCACTGAGCAGATTTGATACACTCTTTTTGTAGAATGTGCAAGTGAATATTTGGAACGCTTTGATGAGTATGATGGAAAAGGAAATACCTTCACATATAAACTAGATAGAAGCATTCTGAGAAACTTTTCTCTGATATGTGCATTCAACTCACAGAGTTGAACCTTTCTTTTGATTCAGCAGTTTTGAAACACGCTTTTTGAAGAATCTATAAGTGGATATTTGGAGTGCTTAGGGGCCGATGGCGGAAAAGGAAATATCTCCACATAAAAACTAGATGGAAGCATTCTGAGAAACTTCTTTGTGATGTGTGCATTCATCAGAGAGAGTTTAACATTTCTTTTGACTGAGCAGTTTTGAAACTCTCTTTTTGTAGAATCTGCAAGTGGACATTTGGAGCCACTTGAGGCCTATTGTGGAAAAGGGAATAAATGCACATAAAAGCTACACGGAAGCATTCTGAGAAACTTCTTTGTGATGTGCACATTCATCTCACAGATTTGAAAATTTCTTTTGATTGAGCAGTTTTGAAATGCTCTTTTTGGAGAATTGGCCAGTGGATATTTGGAGCGCTTTGAGGACTATGGTGGAAAAGGAAATATCTTCACATAAAAACTAGAGGAAACATTCTGAGAAACTTATTTGTGATGTGTGCATTCCTCTCACAGAGTTGAACATTTCTTTTGATTAAGCAGTTTTGAAACACTCTTTTTGTAGAATCTGCTAGAGGATATTTGGAGCACTTTGACGCCTATGGAGGAAAAGGAAATATCTTCACTTAAAAACTAGACAGAAGCATTCTGAGAAACTTCTTTGTGATGTTTGCATTCATCTCACAGGGTTGAAATTTTCTTTTGATTGAGAAGTTTTGAGACACTCTTTTTGTAGAATCTGCCTGTGGATAATAGGAGCGCTTTGGGGCATATTTTGGAAAAGGAAATACCTTCACATAAATAGTAGACAGAAGCATTCTGAGAAATTTTTGGCGATCTGTGCATTCAACTCACAGATTTGAACCTTTCTTTTGATTGAACAGTTTTGAAACACTCTTTTTGTAGTATCTGTAAATGGATATTTGAAGCGGTTTGAGGTCTATCGTGGAAAAGGAAATATCTTCACATATAAACTAGACAGAAGCATTCTGAGAAACTTCTCTGTGATAAGTGCCTTCATCTCACAGAGTTGAACCTTTCTTTTGATTGAGCAGTTTTTAAACACTCTTTTTGTTGTATATGCAAGTGGGTATTTGAAGCGATTTGTGGTCTCTGGTGGAAAAGGAAATATCTTCACATAAAAACTAGACAGAAGCACTCTGAGAAACTTCTTTGTGATGTGTGCATTCATCTCACCAAGCGGAACCATTCTTTTGATGGAGCTGTTTTGAAATACTCTTTTTGTAGAATCTGCAAGTGAATATTTGGAGTGCTTTCAGGCCTGTGGTGGAAAAGGAAATATCTTCACATAAAAACTAGACAGAAGCATTCGGAGAAACTTCTTTTTAGTGTGTGCATTCATCTCACAGTGTTGAAACTTTCTTTTGATTGAGGGTTTTGAAACAGTCTTTTTGATAAATCTGCAAGTGGATATTTGGAGCGAATTGTGGCCTATGGTTTAAAAGGAAATATCTTCACATAAAAGCTAGACAGAAGCTTTCTGAGAAACTTCTTTGTGATATGTGCGTTCATCTCACCGGGTTGAATCTTTCCTTTCATCGAGCAATATTGAAACACCCTTTTTTTTGAATCTGAAATAGATATTTGGAGCGATTGTGTCCTATGGTAGTAAAGGCAATATTTTCACAGAAAAACTAGACAGAAGCATTCTGCAAAACTTCCTCGTGATGTGTTCATTTATCTCACCAAATTGAACCATTCTTTTCCTTGAGCAGATTTGATACACTCTTTTTGTAGAATGTGCAAGTGAATATTTGGAACGCTTTGATGAGTTTGACGGAAAAGGAAATACCTTCACATATAAACGAGACAGAAGCATTCTGAGAAACTTCTTTCTGATATGTGCATTCAACTCACAGAGTTGAACCTTTCTTTTGATTCAGCAGTTTTGAAACACACTTTTTGAAGGATCTGTAAGTGGATATTTGGAGTGCTTAGGGGTCGATGCTAGAAAGGAAATATCTCCACATAAAAACTTGATGGAAGCATTCTGAGAAACTTCTTTGTGATGTGTGCATTCATCAGAGAGAGTTTAACATTTCTTTTGACTGAGCAGTTTTGAAACTCTCTTTTTGTAGAATCTGCAAGTGGACATTTGGAGCCACTTGAGGCCTATTGTGGAAAAGGGAATAAATGCACATAAAAGCTACACGGAAGCATTCTGACAAACTTCTTTGTGATGTGCACATTCATCTCACAGATTGAAAATTTCTTTTGATTGAGCAGTTTTGAAATGCTCTTTTCGGAGAATCAGCCAGTGGATATTTGGAGCACTTTGAGGACTATGGTGGAAAAGGAAATATCTTCACATAAAAACTAGAGGAAACATTCTGAGAAACTTATTTGTGATGTGTGCATTCCTCTCACAGAGTTGAACATTTCTTTTGATTAAGCAGTTTTGAAACACCCTTTTGTGGAATCTGCTAGAGGATATTTGGAGCGCTTTGAGGCCTATGGAGGAAAAGGAAATATCTTCACTTAAAAACTAGACAGAAGCATTCTGAGAAACTTCTTTGTGATGTTTGCATTCATCTCACAGGGTTGAAATTTTCTTTTGATTGAGAAGTTTTGAGACACTCTTTTTGTAGAATCTGCCTGTGGATAATAGGAGCGCTTTGGGGCATATTTTGGAAAAGGAAATACCTTCACATAAATAGTAGACAGAAGCATTCTGAGAAACTTCTTTGTGACGTGTGCATATATATCACAGAGTTGAACCTTTCTTTTCATTTAGCCTTTTGAAACACTCTTTTTCTAGAATCTGCAAGTGAATATTTGGAGCGCTTTGCGGCCTATGGTGGAAAATAAATATCTTCACATAAAAACTAGACAGAAGCATTCTGAGAAACTTTTGGTGGTCTGTGCATTCAACTCACAGATTTCAGCCTTTCTTTTGATTGAACAGTTTTGAAACACTCTTTTTGTAATATCTGTAAATGGATATTTGCAGCGGTTTGAGGTCTATCTTGGAAAAGGAAATATCTTCACATATAAACTAGACAGAAGCATTCTGAGAAACTTCTCTGTGATAAGTGCCTTCATCTCACAGAGTTGAACCTTTCTTTTGATTGAGCAGTTTTGAAACACTCTTTTTGTTGTATATGCAAGTGGGTATTTGGAGCGATTTGTGGTCTATGGTGGAAAAGGAAATATCTTCACATAAAAACTAGAAGGAAACACTCTGAGAAACTTCTTTGTGATGTGTGCATTCATCTCACCAAGCTGAACCATTCTTTTGATGGAGCTGTTTTGAAATACTCTTTTTGTAGGATCTGCAAGTGGATATTTGGAGTGCTTTCAGGCCTGTGGTGGAAAAGGAAATATCTTCACATAAAAACTAGACAGAAGTATTCTGAGAAACTTCTTTGTAATGTGTGCATTCATCTCACAGTGTTGAAACTTTCTTTTGATTGAGGGTTTTGAAACAGTCTTTTTGATGCAACTGCAAGTGGATATTTGGAGCGAATTGTGGCCTATGGTTTAAAAGGAAATATCTTCACATAAAAACTAGACAGAAGCCTTCTGAGAAACTTCTTTGTGATGTGTGCGTTCATCTCACTGGGTTGAATCTTTCCTTTCATCGAGCAGTATTGAAACACCCTTTTTGTAGAATCTGAAAGTCGATATTTGGAGCGATTGTGTCCTATGGTAGTAAAGGAAATATTTTCACAGAAAAACTAGACAGAAGCATTCTGCAAAACTTCCTCGTGATATGTTCACTTATCTCACCAAATTGAACCATTGTTTTCATTGAGCAGATTTGATACACTCTTTTTGTAGCATGTGCAAGTGAATATTTGGAACGCTTTGATGAGTATGACGGAAAAGGAAATACCTTCACATATAAACTAGACAGAAGCATTCTGAGAAACTTTTCTCTGATATGTGCATTCAACTCACAGAGTTGAACCTTTCTTTTGATTCAGCAGTTTTGAAACATGCTTTTTGAAGAATCTATAAGTGGATATTTGGAGTGCTTAGGGGCCGATGGCGGAAAAGGAAATATCTCCACATAAAAACTAGATGGAAGCATTCTGAGAAACTTCTTTGTGATGTGTGCATTCATCAGAGAGAGTTTAACATTTCTTTTGACTGAGCAGTTTTGAAACTCTCTTTTTGTAGAATCTGCAAGTGGACATTTGGAGCCACTTGAGGCCTATTGTGGAAAAGGGAATAAATGCACATAAAAGCTACACGGAAAGCATTCTGACAAACTTCTTTGTGATGTGCACATTCATCTCACAGATTGAAAATTTCTTTTGATTGAGCAGTTTTGAAATGCTCTTTTCGGAGAATCAGCCAGTGGATATTTGGAGCACTTTGAGGACTATGGTGGAAAAGGAAATATCTTCACATAAAAACTAGAGGAAACATTCTGAGAAACTTATTTGTGATGTGTGCATTCCTCTCACAGATTTGAACATTTCTTTTGATTAAGCAGTTTTGAAACACTCTTTTTGTAGAATCTGCTAGAGGATATTTGGAGCACTTTGACGCCTATGGAGGAAAAGGAAATATCTTCACTTAAAAACTAGACAGAAGCATTCTGAGAAACTTCTTTGTGATGTTTGCATTCATCTCACAGAGTTGAAATTTTCTTTTGATTGAGCAATTTTGAGACACTCTTTTTGTAGAATCTGCCTGTGGATAATAGGAGTGCTTTGGGGCATATTTTGGAAAAGGAAATACCTTCACATAAATAGTAGACAAATCTGTCTAGTTTTTATGTGAAGATAGTTCCTTTTCCACAATAGGCCCCAAAACGCTCCAAATATCCCCTTGCAGACACTACAAAAAGATTTTTTAAAAACTGCTAAATCTTCTTGATCCAGTCTATATCACCCATGGGAAATACTATGCAGCCATAAAAAATGATGAGTTCATATCCTTTTTAGGGACATGGATGAAATTGGAAGTCATCATTCTCAGTAAACTATCACAAGAACAAAAAACCAAACACCGCATAT